>NW_025791754.1:697914-847441 GCF_000001405.40 Homo sapiens | reverse complement strand
GAATTCAAGGTGACATTTGGGTGGAGAAACAGCCAAAACATATCATTCTGTCCCTGGACCATACCAAATCTCATATCCTCATATTTCTAAACCAATCATACCTTCCCAACCATCCCAAGTCTTAACCCATTTCAGCATTAACTCAAAAGTTCACAGTCAAAAGTCTCATCCAAGACAAGGCAAGTTTCTTTTATGTATGAGCCTGGAAAATCAAAAGCAGGCTAGTTACTTCCTAGATGCAGTGAGGGTATAAGCATTAGGTAAATACAGCCATTCCAAATGGGAGAAATTGACCAAAACAAAGAACTGCAGGCCCCATGCAAGTCTGAAATCCAGCAAGGCAGTCAAATCTTAAAGCTCTAAAATGATCTCCTTTGAATCCATGTCTCACATCCAGGTCACGCTGATGCAAGAGGTAGGTTCCCATGGTCTTGGGCAGCTCTCCCCCTGTGGCTTTTCAGGGAACAGCCTCTCTTCCAGCTGCTTTCATGGGCTGGGGTTGAATGTCTACAGCTTTTCCAAGTGCAGGTGCAAGCTGCTGGTGGATCTACCATTCTGGGTTGCGGAAGATGGTGGCCTTCCTCTCACAGCTCCAATAGGAACATGGTGGCCTTCCTCTCACAGCTCCAATAGGTGGTACCCCAGTAAGGACTCTGTGTGGGGACTCTGACCCCACATTTCCCTTCTCACTGCCCTAGCAGGGATTCTCCATGAGGGCCCCGCCCCTCCAGCAAACTTCTGCCTGGGCATCCAGGCATTCCCATACATCCTCTGAAATCTAGGTGGAGGTTCCCAAACCCCAATTATTGACTTCTGTGCACTGGCAGGCTCAATACCACATGGAAGCTGCCAAGGCTTGAGGTTTGCACCCTCTAAAGCCATGTTCCGAGATCTACATTGACTCCTTTCCACCTTGGCTCAAGCGGCTGGGATGCAGGTCAGCAAGTTCCTAGGTTGCACACAGCATGAGGATCCTGGGCTCAGCCCACGAAACCACTTTTTCCTCCTAATCCTCCAGGCCTGTAATGGGAGTGGCTGCTATGAAGACCTCTTAACATGCCCTGGAGACATTTTCCCCATTGTTTTGGAGATTAACATTTGGGTCCTCATTACTTATGCAAATTTCTGCAGCTGGCTTACATTTCTCCTCAGGAAATGGGACTTTCTTTTCTATCACATTGTTAGGCTACAAATTTTCCTGACTTTTGTGCTCTGCTTCCCCTACAAAACTGAATGCCTTTAACAGCACTCAAGTCACCTCTTGAATGCTTTGCTGCTTAGAAATTTCTTCCACCAGATACCCTAAATCATCTCTCTCAAGTTCAAAGATCCACAAATATCTGGGGCAGAGGCAAAATGCCACCAGGGGGTCACCTTTACCCCAGTTCCCAACAAGTTCCTCATCTCCATCTGAGACCACCTCATCCTGGATTTCATTGTCCATATCACTGTCAGCATTTTGGACAAAGCCATTCAACAAGTCTGTAGGAAGTTCCATACTTTCTCACATTTTTCTGTCTTTGAGCCCTCCAAACTGTTCCAAACTCTGCCTGTTACCCAGTTCCAAAGTCGCTTCAACATTTTCAGGTATTTTTTCAGCAGTACCCCATTCCTGGTATCAATTTACTCTATTATTCCATTTTCAGGCTGCTGATAAAGGCATATTCAAGACTGGGTAATTTATACAGGAAAAGGGGTTTAATGTACTTACAGTTCCACGTGGCTGGGGAAGCCTTACAATCATGGCAGAAGGCAAGGAGGAGCAAGTCACGTCTTACAAGGATGTCAGGGAAAAAGAGCTTGTGCAGGGAAACTCTGCCTTTTAAAGCCATCAGATCTCATGAGTCTTATTCACTATCAGGAGAACAGCACAGGAAATATCTGCCCCCTTGATTCAATCACCTCCCACTGGGTCCCTCCCATGATATGTGGGAATTCAAGATGAGATTTGAGTGGAGACACAGCCAAATCATATCATCTAATATTAACCATCATGGGGGCCAAATGCTTCCTTTTATTAGGAACTAACACCCACAATAACTAACCTACCCCCCTTGAAAATAGCATTAATCCTTCCATGAGGATCGAGATCTCACGACCTAATTATATCTTAAATGTCCCACCTCCCAACACCTTTACATTGGAGATTACGTTTCCAACATACGAACTTTGGGGAACACTTGCAAATCATAGCAGACATTAGTATCCAAAATATATGAGTAACTCCTATAACTTAATAGGAAAATAAATTACCTGATTTTAAAACTGGCAAAGAAGACATATAAATTGCTAACAGGTATATGAAAATGTGTTCAACATCACTAATCATTAGGTAAATGCAAATCAAAACTACAATGAGATGTCAGCTCAGACCTGTTATTGGTCAGAAAGTGGAGAAAAGGAAACCTTTATACATGGTTAGTGGAAATGTAAAAAAGGTGCAGCTATAGAAAACAATATGGAGGTTTCTTTAAAAAATTAAAAGTAGAATTACCATTTGATCGAGAAATCTCACTTCTGAATATATGTCCAAAGGAATTAAACTCAGTACCTCAAAGAGGTGTCTGTACTCCAATGTTCATTGCAGGATTATTTACAGTAGTCAAGATATGGAAACAAGTGTTCACTGATGAAAGAATTTTCAAAAGCAGTACAGTTGTCTCTTTAATAACATGGGTTTAAACCATGTAAGTGCACTCCTATGCAGATTTTTTTTTCAATATATATGTTGGAAAACTTTTTGGAGATTTGTGATAATTTGAAAAAACATGCAGGTAAACTGTGTAACCTAGAAACGTTAAAAACATTAAGAAAAAGTTAGATATACCATGCATGCATAAATATATGTAGATAATAGTCTTTTATTATATACTACCATAAAATATACACAAATCTATTGAAAGAAGTCAAAATGTATTAAAATTTACACACACAAACACCTGCAGACCATACATGAGACCATTCACAGTGGAGATAAATGTAAATAAGCATAAATATGCAGTATTAAATCATAACCACATAAAATTAATTGTATATACTGTACTACTGTGATAATTTCATAGCCACCTCCTGTTATTATGTAATGAGCTCCAGTGTTGTATCTGCTTAAAATGCCATGTGATGCTAATCATTTCCATGTGAGCAGTTCATCACTCTAGTAAATTGTGTATTGCAGTAAAAAGAGATCTCTCACGGTTTTTGTGTATTCTTCATTGTATTTAGTGCGATACTGTAAACCTTGAATAACAATAGGAAGCACACACCAAGTGCTACTAGTGAACTGCAAGGGCTCACAAGAAGCAAAGAAAAGTCATGATACTAAAAGAAAAGTTTGAATTGCTTGATATGTACTGCAGATTGAGGTCTGCAGATGAAGTTGCCCACAATTTCAAGGTAAATGAATATAGGATAAGGAACATTGTAAAGAAAGAAAAGGAAATTTGGATAGCCATCACTGCATCTATGCCAACAGGGACAAAAACCTTGCACTTTTTGAAAAATATCTTTCTGTATTGAGAATGTAGCTTTTATGTAGGTGCAAGATTGTTATAGGAAAGGCACCCTTATAGACTATAACATAATTCATAAAAAAACAAAGTCATTATATGACAACTTACAGCCAAAGGGAAGTAAAGGAGTTAAAGCTGGAAAATTTAATGGCAGCAAAAGACAGTTTGATAATTTTAGAAAAAGTTTTGGTTTTAAAAATGTCAGGAAACAGAAGTAGCTTCTGCCAACCTAGAAGCAGCAGATGAATTCCCAGGTGCCATTAAGAAAATCATTGAGAAGAAAGGATATCTGTCTGAATGCACTTTAAATGCAGACAAAAATGTCCTAAATAAAAGAAACTGACACAAAGGACATTTATTAGTAAGGAAGACAAGCAAGTACCATGATTTAAGTCAGGAAGGGGTATGCTAACTCTACCATTTAGTGTAAATGCAGTCGGGTTTATGATCAGGACTGCCCTTATCTATAAAGTTGGTAACTCCTGGGCCTTGAAAGGAAAAGAGAAACACCTGTTGCCAGTCTCTTGGTTGTATGACAAGAGAACCTCAGTTGAACAATGAGAACTCTATTTCTGGATTGGTTCCATGGATGCTTTGTCCCTGAAGCTAGGAAGTACCTTGCCAGTAAGGAACTTCCTATTACTGTACTTTTGATATTGGACAATGCCCCAGCCATGCAAAACCGCATGAGTTCAACAGTGAAGAGGTAGAAGTCATCTTCTTTCCCCCAAATACAACTCAATTTGGCCTCTAGATCAGGGGTTATAAGGATCTTTAAGGCTCATTACACACATTACCATATGGAAAAGATTGTCAATGCTCTGGAAGAGAATCCAGATAGAGAACCCCTGAAAGAAAGAGCATCATAAAAGTCTGGAAGAATTACACTACTGAAGATGTCATTTGTTGTTGTATAAATAGCTGTGAATGCCATCGATCATAAAACAATAAATTCCTGCTGCAGAGAACTGTCCAGATGTGCATGCCTTCACAGGATTTACAATGGAGCCAATCAAGGAAGAGTGTGGATATGGCAAAAGAAAAAAAAAAGGTAAGGAGTGAAAGGTTTAAAGATATGAATTTTGCAGAAATTCAAGAGGTAATAGACACCACAGCAGAGAAATTAATAGAAGACTTGATGGAGAAGAGTGCTTCTGAACCAGTGCCAAATTATGAGGAAGAAGATAGAGAAGAAGCAGTGCCAGAAAACAAATTTACATTAGACAATCTGGCAGAAGGGTTCTGATTATTCAAGACTGCTTTTGACTTCTTTTATGACATGGACCCTTCTATGATATGGGCAGAGAAACTAAAGCAAATGGGGAAAGAAAGATTGGTACTGTGTAGAAACATTTTTAGAGAAATGAAAAAAGAAAACATCAGAGATTACAATGCATTTCCATAAAGTTACACAAAGTTTGCCTGCCTTTCCTGCTTCCACTTCCACTTCTTCCACCTCTTTTGCCTCTGCCACTCCTGAGACAACAAGAATAACTCCTCCTTTTTTCAAAATGAAGATGACAAGGATAAAGCCTTTATGATGATCCACTTTCACTTAGTAAATATATTTCCTCCTTTTATGATTTTATTAGTTACATTTTCTTTCTTCTAGCTTACTCTATTGTAAGAATATGGTCTATAACATATAATAAAAAAAGTGTGTTAATCATCTATTTGTGTTATTGGTAAGGCTTTCAGTTCACAACATGGTATTAGTAGTTAAGTCTTGGGAGAGTCAAGTTATATGTAGAATTTTGACTGTGCAGAGAGTCAGCAGCCCTAACCCCCACTTTTTTAAGGCTCAACTTTATATGCATACAATGACATATTATACAGTCTAAAAAAGGAAGAAAATCCTGCCACTGACAGCAACAAGGATGGACCTGGAGGACATTATGTGGAGTGAAATAACTAGACACAGAAAGACAAATACTCCATCCTCTCATTTATGTGTGGAATTTAAAACAGTCAAACAAGTGGAAACAGAGAGTAAAATGGTGGTGGTTGCTAGGGGATTGCAGGGAAGAGAAAATAAAGAGGTTTTGGTCAAAGGCAACAAAGTTTCAGTTATGCAAAATGAATACATTCTGGAGACCTATTGTTGAAAAATTAGGTTAATTGAAGCATTTAAAAATTAGTAAGAAAACGATAGTAAAATGTTAATGATAGCATCTAGGTAGAGGTTTTGTGTGAAAAAAATATTTGAAAATAAGCAGATGTCAATGATTTTTATAAATTGTAAGTAACCCAAATTTACATAAATAGTTGAATGGATAAATTATGGCATATTTACAGAATGCAATACTATTTAGAAAAGGTGCTATCTACTGTATCCTCAAATGGATAAATCTCAGAACCAAAATGTTAAACAAAAGGAACCAGACATAAAAATATACATGTATTTCCCATATGATTCCATTTATATAGTATAAAACTACTGATTGATCTATGTTATTAGAAGTCAAGATAATGTTTAACACTAGGGTAGATGTAGGCAGTAACTTGGTAGGGGGATTTTGGGGTGCTGGTATATTCCTTCTTTGTTCTGGGTTGTGGATTCATGGATGTCTTAGACTTGTGAGAATTCTTAACATATGTACACTTTTCTGTTAATACATTTAATAAAAAATACAAAATTGAAATAATAATAGCTTCTGCCTTGCAGAATTATTTTGTACTCTATTTTATTTTATTTTTATTTCCATAGGCTATTGGGGGAACAGGCTGTATTTGGTTACATGAGTAAGTTCTTTAGCAGTGATCTGTGAGATTTTGGTGCACCCATCACCCAACCAGTATACGCTGAACCAAATTTGTAGTGTTTTATCCCTCAGCCCCCTTCCACCTTTCTCCAGAATCCCCAAAATCCATTGTATCATTCTTATGCCTTTGCATCCTCATAGCTTAGCTCCCAATTATGAGTGAGAACATATGATATTTGGCTTTCCATTTCTGAGTTACTTCACTTAGAATAATTGTCTCCAGTTCCATTCATGTTGCTGTGAATGCCATTAACTCATTCCTTTTTATGGCTGAGTAGTATTCCATCCTGTATATATATCACAATTTTTTATCCACTCATTGATTGATGTTGATGGACATTTGGGCTGGTTCCATATTTTTGCAATTGTGAATTGTGATGTTATTAACATCACCTGCTTGTGCAAGTATCTTTTTTGTATAATGACTTATTTTCCTCTGGGTAGATAACCAGTAATGGGATTGCTGGATCAAATGGTAGTTCTACTTTTAGTTCTTTAAGGAATCTCCACACTGTTTTCCACAGTAGTTGTACTAGTTTACATTCCCACCAACAGTATAGAAGTGTTCCCTTTTCACTGAATCCACACCAACATCTATTATTATTATTTTTTTATTATGGCCATTGCAGGAGTAAGGTGGTATTGCATTGTGGTTTAGATTTGGATTTCCTGATCATGAGTGATGTTGAACATTTTTTCACACATTTGTTGGCCATTTGTATATCTTCTTTTGAGAATTGTCTGTTTATGTCCTTAGACTACTTTTGGATGGGATTGTTTTTTTTTTTTATTGCTTATTTGTTTAAGTTCTTTGTAGATTCTAGACATTAGTCCTTTGACAAATGCATAGATTGTGAAGACTTTCTCCCTGTTTATTCTGCTGACTGTTCCTTTTGCCATGCAGAAGCTCTTTAGTTTAATTAAGTCCCATCTATTAATCTTTGTTTTTGTTGCATTTGCTTTTGGGTTCTTGGTCATGAAGTCTTTGCCTAAGCCAATGTCTAAAAGGGTTTTTCCAATGTTATCTTCTAGAATTTTTATAGTTTCATGTCTTAGATTTAAGTCCTTGATCCATCTTGAGTTGATTTTTTTTGTGTAAGGTGAGAGATGAGTATCCAATTTCATTCTCCTACATATGGCTTGACAATTATCCCAGCACCATTTGTTGAATAGGGTGTCCTTTCCCACTTTATGTTTTTGTTTGACTTGTTGAAGATCAGTTGGCTGTAACTATTTGGGTTTATTTCTGGGTTCTCCATTCTGTTCCATTGGTCTATGTGCCTATTTTTATACCAGTACCATGATGTTTTGGTGCCTATGGCCTTATAGTATAGTGTGAAGTCAGGTAACATGATGCCTCCAAATGATTTGTTCTTTTTGCTTAGTCTTGCTTTGGGTGTGTGGGCTCTCTTTTTGGTTTCATATACACTTTAGTATTGTTTTTTCTAGTTCTGTGAAGAATGATGATGGTATTTTGATAGGAATTGCATTGAATTTGTAAACTGCTTTTGGCAGTATGGTCATTTTCACAATATTGATTCCACTCATCGATGAGCATGGGATGTGTTTCCATTTGTGTCATCTATGATTTCTTTCAGCTGTGTTTTGTAGTTCTCTTTGTAGAGGCCTTTCACCTTTTTGGTTAGGTATATTCCTAAGTATTTTTTGTATTTTTTTTTTCTTGCAGCTATTGTAAAAGGAGTTGAGTTCTTGATTTGATCCTCAGCTTGGTTGCTGTTGGTGTATAGGAGAGCTACTGACTTGTGTACATTAATTTTGTGTACAGAAACTTTGCTGAATTCTTTCATCAGTTCCAGGAGCTTTGTGGAGGAGTCCTTAGGGTTTTCTAGATATACAATCATATCATCAGTAAACAGTGAAAGTTTGACTTCCTCTTTACCAATTTGGTTTCCCTTTATTTCTTTCTCTTGTCTGATTTTTCTAGCTAGGAATTCCAGCACTATGTTGAAGAGAACTGGTGAGAGTGGGCATCCTTATCTTGTTCCAGTTTTCAGAGGGAATGCTTTCGACTTTTCCCCATTCAGTATTATGTTTGTTGTGGATTCGTCATAGATGGCTTTTACTACATTGAGGTATGTCCCTCGTATGCCAATTTCACTAAGCGTTTTAATCATAAAGGGATGCTGGATTTTGTCAAATGATTTTACTGTGTTTACTGAGATGATCATGTGATTTTGTTTTTAATTCTGTTTATGTGGTGTATCGCATTTACTGACTTGGGTATGTATGTTAAACAATCCCTGCAGTATGAAACCCACTTGATCATTGTGGATTATCTTTTTGATATGTTATTGGATTCAGTTAGCTAGTATTTTGTTAAGGATTTTTATTTCTGTGTTCACCAGGGATATTGGCCTGTAGTTTTCTTTTTTTTTGTCATGTCCTTTCCTGGTTTTGGTGTTAGGGTGATACTGGCTTCATAGAATGAATTAGGGAGGATTCCCTCTTTCTCTGTCTTGTGAAATGGTGTCAATAGGAGTGGCACCAATTTTTCTTTGAGTGTCTGGTATAATTCTGTTGTGAATCCCTGGCCCTGGAATTGTTGTTGGTAATTTTTTTGTTACCACTTCAATCTCACTGCTTGTTATTGGTCTGTTCAGGGTATCTAATTCTTCCTGATTTAAGCTAGGAGGGTTGTATTTTCCAGGAATTTATTCATCTCTTCTAGGTTTTCTTTTTCTTTTACTTTTTCTTTTTTTTTTTTTGAGATGGAGTCTTGCTCTGTTGCCCAGGCTGGAGTGCAGTGGCGGGATCTTGGCTCACTGCAAGCTCTGCCTCCCAGGTTCACGCCATTCTCCTTCCTCAGCCTCCCTAGTAGCTGGGAGCTGTTACAGGTGCCCACCACCATGCCCGGCTAATTTTTTTTTTTGTATTTTTAGTAGAGACGGGGTTTCACTGTGTTAGCCAGGATGGTCTCAATCTCCTGACCTCGTGATCCTCCCGCCTCGGCCTCCCAAAGTGCTGGGATTACAGGTGTAAGCCACCGCTCCCGGCCCATCTCTTCTAGGTTTTCTAGTTTATGCATGTAATGGTGTTCATAGTAGATTTGACTGATCTTTTTCTGTGGTGTCAGTTGTATTATCTCCCGTTTCATTTCTAATTGAACTTATTTGGATTTTATTCCTTCTTTTCTTGGTTATTCTTGGTTAATATAATGGTCTATCAATTTTATTTATCTTTTCAAAGAACCAGCTTCTTGTTTCATTCATATTTAAAACAATTTTTTTTGTTTCAATTTCATTTAGTTCTGCTCTGATCTTGGTTATTTCCTTTCTTCTGCTGGGCTTAGGTTTGGTTTGTTCTTATTTCTCTAGTTCCTTGAGGTGTGACCTTAAATTATCTGTTGGTGCTCTTTCAGACTTTTTGATGTAGGCCTTTAGGACAATGAACTTTCCTCTTAGCACCACCTTTTGCTGTATCCCAGAGGTTTTGATAGGTTATGTCACTATTGTCATTCAGTTCAAATAATTTTTTAATTTCCATCTTTCATTGTTGGCCCAATGATCATTCAGGAGCAGGTTATTTAATTTCCATGTATTTGCATGGTTTTGAAGATTCCTTTTGGAGTTAATTTTCACCTTATTCCACTGTGGTCTGAGAGAGTGTTTGACATAATTTTTTTTTTTAATTTATTGAGGCTCATTTTGTGGCCTATCATATGGTCTATCTTGTAGAAAGTTCCATGTGCTGATGAATAGAATGTATATTCTGTGGTTGTTGGGTAGAATCTTCTGTATATATCTGCTAAGTCCATTTGTCCCAGGGTATAGTTTAAATCCATTTTGTTGTTGTTGTTGTTGTTGACTTTCTGTCTTGGTGACATATCTAGTGCAGTGGTATATTGAAGTCCCCCACTAGTATTGTGTTGCTGTCTGTCTCATTTCTTAGGTCTAGTAGTAATTGTTTTATAAATTTGGGAGTTCCAGTGTTAGGTACATGTATAATTAAGATTGTGATATTTTCCTGTTGGACAAGGCCTTTTATCATTATATAATGTCCTTCTTTGTCTTTCTTAACTGCTGTTGCTTTGAAGTTTGTTTTGTCTGATATAAGAATAGCTACTCCTGCTCACTTTTGGTGTCCATTTGCATGGGGTGTCTTTTTTCACCCCTTTACCTTAAGTTTATGTGAGTCCATATGTGTTAGGTGAGTCTCTTAAAGGCAGCAGATAGTTGGTTGGTGAATTCTTACCCATTCTGCAATTCTGTATCTTTTAAGTGGAACATTTAGGCCATTTACATTCAACATTAGTATTGAAATGTGAGGTACCATTCCATTCATCATGCTATTTGTTGCCTGAATACCTTGATTTTATTTATTTAAGTATTTATTTATTTACTGTATTTTTGTTTTATGGGTCCTGTGAGGTTCATGCTTTAATGAAGCTCTGTTTTGTTGTGTTTCCAGGATTTGTTTCAAGATTTAGAGCTCTTTTCAGCAGTTCTTGTAGTGCTGGCTTGGTAGTGGCAAATTCTCTCAGCATTTGTTTGTCTAAAAAAGACTGTATCTTTCCTTCATTTATGAAGCCTAGCTTTTCTGGATACAAAATTCTTAGCTGATAATTATTTTTTTTAAGGAGGCTGAAGATAGGTCCCCAATCCCTTCTAGCTTATAGGATTTCTGCTTAGAAATCTGCTGTGAATCTGATAGGTTTTCTTTTGTATGTTACCTGGTGCTTTTGCCTCACAGCTCTTAAGATTCTTTCGTCTTGACTTCAGATAAACTGATGACTATGTGCCTAGGTGAAGATTTATTTATTTATTTATTTTGAGATGGTGTCTCGCTCTGCTGCCAGGCTGGAGTGCAGTGGCGCGATCTCAGCTCACTGCAACCTCTGCCTCCTGGCTTCAAGTGATTCTCTTGCCTCAGCCTCCTGAGTAGCTAGGACTACAGGCATGGCACCACGCCCAGCTAATTTTTGTATTTTTAGTAAAGATGGGGTTTCACCATGTTGGCCAAGACGGTCTTGATCTCTTGACCTCGTGATCTGCCCACCTCATCCTCCCAAAGTGTTGAGATTACAGGCATAAGCCACCACACTTAGCTGCAATAATCTTTTTTTTTTTTTTTTGAGATGGAGTCTTGCTCTGTCGCCAGGCTGGAGTGCAGTGGCACGATCTCAACTCACTGCAACCTCCACCTCTTGGGTTCAAGCAATTGCCGTGCATCAGCCTCCCACGTAGTTGGGGTTACAGGCATATGCCACCATGCCCAGCTAAATTTTTTTTTTTTTTTTGTATTTTAGTAGAGACAGGGTTTCACCATTTTGGCCAAGATGGTCTTGATTTCCTGACCTCATGATCCACCTCCCTCGGCCTCCCAAAGTGCTGGGATTACAGGCATGAGCCACTGTGCCCGGCCGTAATGATATTTTTATGATGATTTCCCAAGTGTTCTTTGAGCTTCTTGTGTATGGATGGCTAGATTTCTAGCAAGGCCAGGGAAGTTTTTTTTTTTCAATTATTTCCCTAAATATGTTTTCCAAATTTTCAGATTTTTCTTCTTCCTCAGGAACACCAATTATTCTTAGGTTTAGTCATTTAACATAATCCCAAACTTCTTGGAGGCTTTATTCACTTAAATTTTTTTCTTTGTCTTTTTTGGATTGGATTACTTCGAAAACCTTGTCTTCAAGCTCTGAAGTTCTTTCTTCTGCTTGTTTTATTATATTGCTGAGACTTTCCAGTACATTTTGCTTTTCTCTAAGTGTGTTCTTTATTTCTTGAAGTTGTGACTGTTTTTTATTTATGCTATCTATTTCACTGAAGATTTCTCCGCTCATATCTTGTGTCATTTTTTTGATATCCTTAAGTTGGATTTCACCTCTCTCTGGTGCCTCCTTGATTAGCTTAATAATCAAACTTCTGAATTCTTTTTCTGGCAGTTCAGGAATTTCTTCTTGGTTTGGATCCATTGCTGATGAGCTAGTGTGATTTTTGGGTGGTGTTAAAGAACCTTGTTTTGTCATAATACCAAAATTGTTTTTCTAGTTCCTTCTCTTTTGGGTAGGCTATGTCAGAGGGGAGATCTGGGGCTCAAGGCTGCTGTTCAGATTCTTTTGTCCCACGGGGTGCTCCCTTGATGTAGTATTCTCCCCCTTTTCCTAGGGATGTGACTTCCTGAGAGCCAAACTGTAGTGATTATTATTACTTTTCTGGATCTAGCCACCAGAAGGGCTACCAGGCTCTGGGCTGGTACTGGGGGTTGTCTGCATAGAGTCCTGTGATGTAAACTGTCTTCAGTTCTCTCAGTCATGGATACCAGCACCTGTTCCAGTAGAGGTGGCAGGGGAGTGAAAGGAACTCTGTGAGGGTCCTTAGTTGTAGTTGTTTGATGCACTAGTTTGGTGCTGGTTGGCCTCCTGCTGAGAGGTGAAGCCAGCTGGACTTCCTGGGTCGAATGGGGACTTGGAGAACTTTTCTGTCTAGCTAAAGGATTGTAAACACACCAATCAGCGCTCTGTGTCTAGCTAAAGGTTTGTAAATGCACCAATCAGCACTTTGTAAAAACAGACCAACCAGCACTCTGTAAAATGTGCCAATCAGCGGGATGTGGGCGGAGCCAAATAAGGGAATAAAAGCTGGCCACCCGAGCCAGCCGCAGCAACCTGGTCTGGTCCCCTTCCAGGCTGTGGAAACTTTGTTCTTTCGCTCTTTGCAATAAATCTTGCTGCTGCTCTCTTTTTGGGTCTGCACTACCTTTATGAGCTGTAACACTCACCGCGAAGGTCTGTGGCTTCACTCCTGAAGTCAGCAAGACCTCGAACCCACCAGGAGGAAGAAACAACTCCGGACGCACCATCTTTTAGAGCTGTAACACTCACTGTGAAGGTCTGCGGCTTCACTCCTGAAGTCAGCAAGACCAGGAACCCACCAGAAGGAAGAAACTCTGGACACATCTGAACATCAGAGGAACAAACTCCGGACACACCATCTTTAAAAACTGTAATGCTCACCGCAAGCGTCCGCAGCTTCATTCTTGAAGTCAGCAAGACCAAGAACCCATTGGAAGGAACCAATTCCAGACACACTGCCATGAGGTAGTGCTTTCATGAGAGCATCAGCTGTGGTATATAGGGGAGGATCAGGTGGTGGGTGGGACACTAGAACTTCCAAGAGAATATGACCTTTGTCTTCAGCTACCAGGGTGGGTAGGGAAGGACCATCAGGTGGGGGCAGGGTTAGGCATGTCTGAGCTCAGAGTCTTCTTGGGTGGGGCTTGTTGTGGCTCTGTGGGGAATGGGGGTGTGATTCCCAGGTTAATGGAGTTACCTTCCCAGGAGGATTATGGCTGCCTCTTCTGTGTCATGCAGGTTGTCAGGGAAGTGGGGGAAAGCTGGCAGTTACAGACCTCACCCAGCTCTCACACAACCCAACAAGCAAATCTCACTTCTACTGTGTTCCCCCAAAAAGCACCGAATTTGTTTCCAGGCAGTAGGGGAGCAGGATTGAGAACTTGCCCCAGGCTACTAGCCTCCCAGCTGAGAATGCAAGCCAGACTTTTGTGCCTCCCTACCTGTTAAGTCTGCACACCAGATTCACGCCCTTTCCTGAGTTCTGGACAGGAAAGTTTGTGTTCGGTTGGAATTGTTACTAAGTTCAGCTGGAGGTTTCCTTCTCCCTGTGGTCTTTTCCCAGTTCCTCCGGCAGCCCCTGTGAGACAAGTCAGAAATGGCTTCTCTGGGGACCCACAGAGACGATGGGGCTTTACCCTTTGCTTCCTCTACCCCTGTATTTCGCTCAGCTCTCTAAATTGTCTGAGCTCCAGGTAAGGTCAAATCCTTCTCCTGTGATCTAGACCTTCAGGTTCCCCAAGGGTGTGTGTTCAGGGGTGGACAATACCCCTTTCACACTTTTCACAGTTTGGGCATTCACAGTATGTGGGCTATTTTCTGGGTCATGCAGGAGCAATATACTTTCTTCAGAGGGTCTGTGGATTATCTTGGCTTTCCTGTTATATCCTTGCAGCAGTTCTTGGAGCAAAAGTTCACAATGCGAGTCTCCACATCCTGCTCTGTCCATCCAAGTGGGAGCTGCAAGTTAGTCCTGCCTCCTATCCACCATTTTTTCCTATTTTGTATTTTAAATTAAAACTCATTAGAATGTAAACTCCATGAGGGCAATAATTTTAATCCAGTTTTTTCACTGCTAAATACCTCAAAACTGTTACATGTGCTGCCATTATCATGGACGTTCTAAACATTTCTCATGAATGAATGTTGATATAGCACAGTGCTGATCTCACCACCTGCCACAAAGTAAAAACTCTCTAAATGTCAAACACTACTATTATAAGTAATACTATTCTATCATTGAGACAACTATGGTTCTGTATCTCTTTAAGGAGTGCAGTCTAGGCAACAACATATTTCAACATCAGGTATCTGTTATCTCATGTTCCTAAGTTCATCTTTTTACCTGATCAATATTAGTAAAGATCTATGGCCTCAAGTGAACTTTACTCTATGAATTTACAATTGGGAACTTAGGTTGAAAATTTACCTAGTATTATTTATTCTGCTGCTATAATTTATTATTTATTCTGCTGCTATTGTTGCCCTAATCAGTTATCATGCTCTTACTGGACTCTGACATGGTAAGTAATGTCAATTAATATAGTTGTGTTATTTTAACATTATTTCAAAATATTTTAAGTGAAATATAAGACTCGTTACAAAAGGACTTAGACAGAG
Organism: Homo sapiens; assembly: GCF_000001405.40. Taxonomy (NCBI): domain Eukaryota; kingdom Metazoa; phylum Chordata; class Mammalia; order Primates; family Hominidae; genus Homo; species Homo sapiens. The sequence goes on along the minus strand of NW_025791754.1, from coordinate 832,457 downwards.
GTTATAAATTATTAACTTTTTCCTCAAGAGAAGTATTGTGTACTTAATGACAAGTTCCTAGTGCTTAGAATTGTTAAAATCTTTGTGAAGCACACCACTGAAGATGAGGTTGAAAAACCTGACTTTTATCATCATATTGATAATCTCAGGAGAACTCTATGCAGAAGGTAAAATTAATTCTTAATATTCTTTATTCTCTAAAACATACAAATGGAGATTCTAATATTTATACAACTCAAGTTTTAATATACTCTTCTATTTTCATTATCAATTTTATAACATATTTTATAAATATAACTTTTTATAATATTTAGACCTTTTCCTTTGAGCAAAATTAGTAAAGTGTTCTTACAGTAGCATAAGTCAGAAAAGCAAAACAAAACAAAAACCCTTGTATCTCTAGGGGGCATAGGAGACCAGGATCTAAATACTTCGAAAAGGTTTTCAGGTTAACAATATGTCCATTTCGAAGTCACATGTTAACTTTAATTCTAAATTTATGCTAGAATCCATTCCTAATACTGACAAAACTTGTACAATTTTAATTCTGTTCATAAGGTGAGAGTTTAATGTGGGAAATTTGAAAAGGAAATAGCCATAAATATTTTTTACTTTTGAGACTTTGATTTTTATCACAATGAATTATTCATTTGTTGGAGACATTAAGTAGTGATTAGTAGGTGAACCATATAATTGCTTGTACAAACAGGGACACTTAGAGAGTAAAAGAGGGGCTCTATTAATAACTGTTTGGACAACACATGTAAATCAGGACTTTCCAAACAAACCAATACCTATGGACTCCCTATTAGAAAGCTTTATAGTCAGATTGCCCAATGTGTAAGATTAGTGTGCGAGTGGAAGCTAGGCAGTGTACATGGGTATGTTGTTCAGGAACATTATCAATATTATCAGGCCATAGGATGAAGAATCCAGGGAGGACACTTAGCATTAGCAAGAGTGAACATACAAAGAAGGAAGCTACAGCAATACAGCTTTTCTAAAATAAACATTTTTGGGAATTTGTTGAAATTAAATACATAAGTTTTAACTGTGTTTTAGTTGAATAGTTAACTATAAATTTTCTACCAAAACATCTATAATTAAAATTATAAAAGTGAAAGACACAGAATTAATCTTATTTTATACTTTTAATTCTATAATAGGATGATTTTTGCATGAATTTCTTTTGATTTTATTTTTCTGTCTAAATAGGGAAATACCAGCAGATATAATTGTCTGTTATCTATACCATAAAGACATTGCAATATTCTAGTTAATTTTCTAATTATTATAAGGTTATAATGCTATTTTACACAACAAAAAAAAAAGTAAGCTGCTTGAAGACCAAGACAATGATTTTATTTTTGCATGCTTCTCTCAACTCCCATTGTGCACTTCAGGGACAAGAATTGAATTAATTGTGTTTCTCATTTCATGGTATGCAAGTATTATTGGCCTATGAAAGGTCTCACTCTTGCTTTACTTACACATTTTATCCCCTTATTCCTAATCTTGAAGTCCATTTCCCCTGGGACCTACTACAATGTTTTAACATGTTACTCTAGCTCTCTCAACCACAAATAGCTCTGGAATGAATATTGTAATATAACCAACTTATCTTTCTGTAAGAATGTCATCAGTCTGTATTCACTCACAGATAGCATTATTGAGTCTATTCTTGTACTTGATTTCTGTAATGAGAGATTACTTTTGCAGAATGGCAGTTTTGAAGTATATCATCTCTGAGAGAGGATGTAAATTGTTGCTCCTCATCATTCTCACCAACACCTCATATTGTCCATTTTTGTACTGGTTGCTATATGGTTATTCATAAAGTGATATCCCATTTTTATTTATTTACCATTCTCTGATCAGTAGTAAGTGTGTCCATCGCTTCATGTACTTTTTTTAATATGTTCAGACATCTGTGATTTCCTGGTTTATATGTGATTAGTATATTCCTCACATTTCTCATTAATTTTTTGTCAGGAATTCATATTCTCCAAGGCATTCCAGCTACCTTAACAAATAATGTGCCTATCCTGGTGGTGGAGGGAGATGTCCCAGGACAGAGAGTCTTTAAAGCCACAACCTAGGATTGTTGTGCAGAGAATACTTTGCTGCCCCTCCCTGACAAGCAACTGTGCCCCTCAGGGAAATTTCTTGTGTATTCACCATTGCACTGCTATTTTGGAAGACTCTTTTTATTGTAAATTCCTTTGGTGCTTGGGTGTGAAAAAATGGTGAGAATAATTCTCAAGGAATGGGGACTATCCAGCCCATGTTTTTCTGTCTGCTCCATCAGATAGTGGAAGTTTTGTTGCTCATCATTCCACATCCATTTCCTTCAAACCTAGGCTAGCACTACTAGTATTTTATGTCTCATAGTAGCATTAAGGTATACAGTGATCAACCAAGGCATTGAAGCCGTAGTAATCACACTGGATCCAGGCCTTCTTCCATCCATGACTGCCCATGTTTCTTCCCACCACAGCTCCTAGGATTGTTCGAGCATTTCTTTCTTTTAAGTGTTTTTATGACTTTAAGATCTTCAACATAAAGATATATTTTTAAAATATATGTTTTATTTGGAGTATAACATATCCAGAAAAATGCAAAAATCACAGGATACACTTATATAGTTTTTACAAAATTTTACACCATCCAGATCAAGATATAGAACAGTGATAGTACCCCAGAAATATGATCCTTCTAAGGCACTAAACCCCAAAGGTAACCATTCTGACTTCTATTATCATGGATTAGTTTGTTTTCTTTTAAAAAGTTATGCAAATGTATACATTAATTCATATGTGATTGGCTTCTTTCACTCAATATTATGTTTATGAGATTCACCATTTGTTCATTTCTGTTGTTGGATAATATTCCATTGTATGCATAGTCTAAAATGTGTTTATCTTTTCTATTATTTATGGGCATTTAGATTGTTCCCAGTTTGGGACTATATGAATACTGCCACTATAAGCATTTTTTTCCATGTCTTTTGGTATACAAATATGTGCTTTTTTTATTGGGTAATATGGTTTGTACATGTTTTACCCCAATATATATTGCAAAGGTGTTCTCTCATAGAGTTTGGACTGATTTATACTTTCAGTTGTAGAAATATGCGAGTTCCAGTTTCTTCACTTCTTCACAATCATTGAGATAGCTTGTCTTTTTCATTTCAGCAGTTCTATTGGATATGCAGTAGTATCTCATGGTGGTTTAAATTTTCATTTCCCTGATGACTAGTAATGCTAAGTACCAGGTCTCTAACCATTTAAATATCCTATTTTGCCAAGTTCTTGCCAAGTATTGCTTTGTTTTACTTGGTTGTCTGTTTTTTCTTTTAATGCTATTTATTTCAAAATTTTTTATGAGTTAGCATATGTTAAGGAGAAACTTTACCTATTCCTGAACTGTACTGTCCAATACAGTGGCCATCAGCCACATATAGCTATTGGAGACAGTACTTAAAATGTCACTAGTTCAAGATCAGATATTCTGTAAGTATAAATATGTAGTGGATTTTAAAGAGTTAGAAAAAAAAAGAATGTAAAATATTTTCAATATATTGGGTTAAATAAAAACCTATTATTAAAACTAACTTCAATTGTTCCTTAGTATTTTTATGAATGTGACTATTAGAAATTTTTAAATTACATAAGTGACTTACAATACATATCTATTAGGAAGTGCAGGCAGGGTGGAGTGGTTCAAGTCTTGTAATCCTAGTGCTTTGGGAGGCCAAAGCAGAAGGATCCTTTGAGTCCAGGAGTTTGAGACCAGCGTGAGCAACAGAGTGAGACCCCTCATCTCTACAAAAAATAAAACAAAAATTAGCCAGATGTGGTGGCATGTGCCTGCAGTCCTAGCTACAGGAGAGGAGGCTTGCTTAAGCCCAGGAGCTCCTGGTGGCAGTGAGCTATATTTCAGCACTGCACTGAAGCTTGGATAACTGAGGAAGACTCTGTGTCTAGGAAGAAAAAAAAAAGTACTGTTCTACGAAGTTATGCAAAGCTTCCCTGAAAAAGTGGTCTGCTAAATTTTATCATGACTGTTGGATGTTTAAAGTCATTTGCAGATCAATTATGATAAAAGGACTGCTTGAGTTGTCACAAAAGTACCTTAAAAATTTAAGTAAGAAAAATAAGTACTAGTTGAAGTGTCTCTAAAAACTTTTAGTTTGTATTGTCACCTGATTACAAATTTATGTTTTTAGATTTGTTTTTCCATTTTCAGCTTGACATTTACTCATTTCAGAGAAACCCTGTGGTTTTCCTCATGTGGAAAATGGAAGAATTGCCCAATATTACTATACTTTTAAAAGCTTTTACTTTCCAATGAGCATAGACAAAAAATTGTCATTTTTCTGCTTGGCTGGTTATACCACTGAAAGTGGAAGACAAGAAGAGCAAACCACGTGTACAACAGAAGGCTGGTCTCCAGAGCCAAGGTGCTTCAGTAAGTCAGCTGGATATGTCACTCAATGTTTCAATACTCAAAGAAATTTGTATATAAAAATAGGGGTCCAATAAAAATGGAAAGCGGTTAAACCTTTTAGTAGATAAGAACAAAATCACTAGCAATCTGTCTTTCTACAAAATGAAGGCATAATTTGAAATCCAGTAAATAATGCTTTTACATTAAAATGTTATTTTCTGTATCTGTTTTTAATAATACTCTGTTGAAGGGAATAGGGTAATAACTGAAATTATCATATTGCAAGGCAAAGAGAGGTAATTTACTTTAAGTAACAAGAAACTTATTTTGATAATTAAGCATAAGATGCCAGAAAAATGCTTGAAACTCTGGCCTCTGGAAGGGCAAGATTGCTACTCTAATGCTTTATCATTTGTAAGACTCATCTCTCTTCATGTGCCAACTTCTCTCATGATACCCATTGAAAAATGTGTTTTTCAATTTTGAATTGAAAGTTTGAGTTCAAAGTTGTGAGAAGGTAATCTAATTGACTCATTTCATTATTTTATATCAGGCTACACTATCATCAAACTATCAATGATCTTCCACTAGGGCAGGTGACCCAGAGTAAGGGGCTTTGGTTGAGCCAGTTTCGTTTAAAAGAGGATGTTGAATATGGCTATTGTGGTTGATATATCTAGTAAACCTATCTAGAAGTAGATGTGGTAGGGGTAGAAATTACTATAAGAACTAAAATTAGTAAATACAAAGAGAGTCAGTGTTAAATTGAATCCATTTTCAAAAAAATTATGCAGATATTTCCAAAATGAAATCGCCAATAATAACATTATACTTTTGGCTTAATTTTACAATTTAGTAAAAGACAAGCTTAGTTTCATCATTAAGTTAAATAATTTTTTTTCCCATAGAAAAATGCACTAAGCCTGACCTGAGTAATGGTTACATCTCTGATGTAAAGTTATTGTATAAAATTCAAGAGAACATGCGTTATGGTTGCGCTTCAGGGTACAAAACCACTGGAGGGAAGGATGAAGAAGTGGTTCAATGTCTCTCTGATGGATGGTCTTCTCAACCAACCTGTAGGAAAGAACATGGTATAAGAATCATTTCCTAAAACTGAAGATAAGTGCTTATCAAGCTTATATTGAATATATTGAAGCTTATATTGATATCTATTATTTAATAGAATTTATTTTTCATTATGTCTACAATGCAGGAAGTTGATATTACATTGCTTTTCTCAAGTACTAGGTGATTCCTTAATCCAAATGTTCTCAATCCCTACAACCCACCTACGCCAATAGTTCCTACTTTGCATCAATAAAAGGAATTGGAATGGAATAAAATGAAAGAAGCTTTTTCTTTATATGTCACTATTTCCTTTATTACAGAAGAATTTAAGATCATGTACATTATTTTATATTGTGAACCAATGTCAGATATACTTAAAAATAGTTCAATAATTTAAATATATGTATACTTTGTTAGTAAGTTGTTTAAATTGTAAAAATGCATAGACAGCACATACTTTCACAATTGCTACTGCACAAGCCTTTAGTTGAATTTTGGCCTTTGGTCAAGCACTTGTAGACTAGAATTTTAAAAACAGAAAACTGGTAGAGTTAGGTCACAAGGTGTATGAAGAAGAGAATAGAGGCAAAGAAAAATTGGGGCTATTTTTCAATTTTGCTAAGAGTTGATTTTACCATGTATTCTTAAGATTTGTAAAACCATATTTTGAGATTTTTTATAATCTAGGTTATTAAAAAAGTTTATAAAATAAATAATTTTTATAATTTTAGAAACATGTTTGGCTCCTGAATTATATAATGGAAATTATTCCACAACACAGAAAACATTCAAAGTGAAGGACAAAGTACAATACGAATGTGCTACTGGCTACTACACAGCTGGAGGAAAGAAGACAGAGGAGGTAGAATGTCTCACATACGGATGGTCTCTCACACCAAAATGTACCAGTAGGTTCTCATTTGGAATAAAATCTACTCTCACTCTGAAAGCTTTTTCTCATAGAGAAGTGTATATAAGTTGTCATGCTCATTATGTTTCACCTTTTCATGCATTTTTGCCTTTATTTTTAATTATGTTGATAGCAGTCTTTGATAATTAAAGCTCTCAAGTAGAATAAATTCATTTTAGCTCACAGAATTAAATTAGAATAAGCCTAATGATATTTAACAAATATATAAAATGAATTCATAAGCTTTTTGGCAAATTTAATTTCTATTCTAGTTATGTCATGTAAATAGTGCATTTTGTTGTAGCAGAAAAAATAAACATTTGTTTGTAATTTTATTCATTCTTTTATTTGCAGAATTAAAGTGCTCTTCTTTAAGATTAATTGAAAATGGTTATTTTCATCCTGTAAAGCAAACCTATGAAGAAGGAGATGTCGTTCAGTTTTTCTGTCATGAAAATTATTATCTAAGTGGATCTGATTTAATTCAATGCTATAACTTTGGTTGGTACCCAGAATCTCCTGTATGCGAAGGTAAATTTTTAAATTTAATACTCGCAAAATGCCATGTCTTTATCAGCTTTAATCTCTATTAGCTCTGACAAAATTCCTGTGGTCATATCTATTTTTTTTCCTGAGTCCTATTTTTAAAATAAATATTATCTTTTAAATCAGTGCTATTTTCAGCAATCTTTAATATATCCCACCTGAATAAATCTTGTTTTGTCTTAGTTTGTAAATGACTATATCTTTTAAATTTATTATTTTAAAATATCTATTATACATTTTAAATCCCTTATTATAACGAATAACTTTTCTTATTGGGAATTATTAGGACTAATTACCCCAATCTGGCAGCTTTGCAAGGATATTTTCTCTTAATTTGCCACATATTTCCAGATGTAAAAATTAATCTCCAAAATAGTGAGGTAGAAAGCAGAGAAAGCAGGAAAAGCAGAAGAATAATGCCCAGAAGTGAAAATGGGAAAAGAGGTCATCTTGTAAAAGCTGCCCAAAAATGTAATATCTATGGTCACATTTCTATTACTGGAAGTGTCCAAACAGGTAATGCAATTACCTGTCAGAAGACATCCATAGTTATTTAAACAAACCTACAATTTAATATGAGGAGGGTCCTATACTAGCAGAAGATATGAAAACAGTAATTGCAGATATGAAAAAAATAATTGCTATAATGTGACAAATGGTACAATCAACTCAGGTACAAAGTGCAGGAATAAACATTAGAGATTCTGATTGGTATGCTGTGGAATAGCATTCACAGAAGTGATGGACAATATTTAAGTTGGGTCTTAAGAGATAAGTAGCAGTTTGAGAATTGGGAGGATAGGGTGAGGCAAAGGGTTTGATAGTCATTTTTTATTTTCTGTAATATGGGATATAAGGTCTATTGACAGGCAGGTGAAAGACATGAAGGTAGAACTTGGAGGAAAGTGGTGAAGATTTGAAACAGGTGCTAGGGGAAACAAATGAGGGCTCTGACCATGGGTATGCAGTGGGATTGCCAGAACTATCATAATTCCCTAAATGCACTGTACAGTAACTTTAAAGATTTTATGATTTTTCATTTGTGCTCGACATCCTTGGTATAGTAGTAGAGAAGTAGATTTTTTAAGCAAATTTTTTTAAAGTCTATTATTCCTTATTTATTTTTTATTTTTTTGAGATGGAGTCCTGCTGTGTCGCCTAAGCTAGAGTGCAGTGGCACGATCTCAGCTCACTGCAACCTCCACCTCCCAGGTTCAAGTGATTCTCCTGCCTCAGCCTCCTGAGTAGCTGGGACTACAGGTGTCGGCCACCATGCCCAGCTAATTTTTTTGTGTTTTTAGTAGAGACAGGGTTTTGCCACGTTGGTCAGGCTGGTCTTGAACTCCTGACCTCAGGTGATCAGCCTGCCTCAGCCTCTCAAAGTGCTACTTCAAAAATAAATGGCAGACCTACTTAAGGCCTTTTATACCCTTCTCCTCTTCCAAATTAGCCAGCATGACAACATGCCTGTTTTTTCCGGTAAACAGTCATTAGGCATACAATGGCTAATATAATTCAGCCCACAACAATATAATTCAGTTGTGGGCTGAATTATATCTCTCTTACTCCTCCCAAAATATAGCCACATTCTAATACTGAGAACCATTAAACGTTACCTTACACGGTACAAGACACTTTGAGGTTAACAATCTTAAGGTAGGAATATTATCTGGAACTATCTATCCAGACTCTAAATATAATCACAAATGCTTTTATAAAAGGGAGGCAGAGGGAGATTGACTGCAGAAGAGGAAGCAGGAGATGTGACAATGGAAGCCACAGGTTGAAATGTTTTGAGGAAGGGGTTGTGAGCCAAGGAATACAGGTGATTTCAAGAAGCTAGAAAAGGCAAAGTAGCTGATTCTCCTCCAAAGTCTCCAGCAGGAATGTGGCTCTCCTGATATCTCGATTTTAGTCCAGTGAAACTGACTCTGGACTTCTGGCCTCTAGGACTGTAGGAGGATAAATCTGTGCTGTTTTAAGCCACTAAATTGTAATTCATCAAAGCAGCAATAGGAAAGTAGTGTGGTCAGTATTTTAGAGCAGGAGACTTTAATTTAGACAGACGTGGGTTCAAGAACAGATCTGCTACATGCTATTAATTTATTTACTTCATAAGTTTTAGTTTGTCTATAACATGGGAGAAATAATAGTTCCTACTTAATAAAGTTATTTTAGGACTAAAAGAGGTAATGAATGTAAAATGCCTGCTGTGTTAGTATTCTATTGGTGCGTAACAATGTCACCACAAACTCAGCAGGTTAAAACAACACAAAGAAATTATTTCCCATTGGGTGTAGGTTGGGGGTCTGGGTGCGGCTTAACCGACTCCTTGCATCGATGGCTATCAAAGCTGCAATCAAGATGTTAGCTGGACTGCAGTCTCATCTGAGGCTTGACTGGGCAAGACTTCTTCCAAACTCACTGTAGTTATTGGCAGCATTCAGTGCTTTGCAGACTGCTGAACTGAGAGCCTCTGTTTCTTGTGGCTGTTAACTGAAGGCAGCCCTCTGCCCCTTGCCTTGCAGCCGTTCTGCTTTGGAAGCTCATGATGTAGCCTCTTGTTTCTTCAAAACCAGCAAGGATAGAGAGTCTCTTGGCAAGAATGGCGTTAAAAACTGATGTTACATAATTATGTGTGCATAATCACGTACTAATCCATCACCTTTGCTGTATTTTGTGGGCTAGAAGCAAGTCACAGGTCCTACTCATGGAAAGGGGTATCACACAAGGAAGTTAACATCAGGAGGTGAGGATCAAAGGAATGCTCCTAGAATCAGTCTGCCATTCTCTCTATGATGCTTGACATGATGAATATTTTAATTTAATCTTTATTATTTTTTGTAATTATATGACTAAAGGTGCTGATTAATTTTTTCCATAAGGAAGAAGAAACAGATGTCCTCCTCCACCTCTGCCCATAAACTCCAAAATTCAAACACATTCAACAACTTATCGTCATGGAGAAATAGTTCATATAGAATGTGAACTTAATTTTGAGATCCATGGGTCAGCAGAAATACGTTGTGAAGATGGAAAATGGACAGAACCTCCAAAATGCATTGGTTAGTAACACCTTGAAGAAGCTTTGCTAAAATGAAATCTGCATGTGTAGCTAAATGGTCAGTTCTCTTTCAACTGTACCTTTTCAGAAGGACAGGAGAAGGTAGCCTGTGAGGAACCACCCTTCATTGAAAATGGTGCAGCAAATTTACACTCTAAGATTTATTACAATGGGGATAAAGTGACATATGCATGTAAAAGCGGCTACCTTCTCCATGGATCGAATGAGATAACTTGTAATCGTGGAAAATGGACACTTCCTCCTGAGTGTGTTGGTATGTATGCTACATTTACCATCAGTAGCTAAACTTATGGTGTAAAATTTTCCATTCTGTTACTTTAATCTGAATATTCCTAGGAAAAGACCACTGCTTAGGCAAATTAGAAACACATTGCTACAGCACCTACTCTTCTGCTTTGCATGTGTGCATGTGTGTGTGCCTGTATGTGTAGCTATCTGTAGAATTTAAGTCAATGTAAAGAATTCTTAAACAAAAGTTTTTTTTGAACGCTAGTGCTAAGCACGGTTATCTGATCTGTGTCATGCCATTACCTGTAAGTTCTAAATGACAACACATAAATGACGATGTGCTTCATTAGATAAGTAAATAAGGGCATGGTGGATTGAGTGACGGGCCATGAGCATTATCTACTTCTTCTCCCCATATGTCCTGCAAAGTTAGGGTAGTGCATTCTGTTCTTGACCTTGGGTAAGTCCTGCTGATATTTTGCATCTGGCCATTCTGAACCTTATGCCCTTCTGAGACATGTCCCTGGTCTTTCATTTTACTGAAAGGCACCACCAGGCTACACTATCATTCCTGGAGACTACTCTTCCTGTCATCTATCTCATTTCTTAATCAGATCAGAGCAACATCTCCACACACATGTTTATCTAGGATATTTATTAAATAAGACAAAAGCAATGAAGGATGCTAAAGAAATAGATAAAGTGAGAGAAAGATACCAAAAAGAGGAAAAAAATTGATATTTCCTTCATGGGTCTATTGAGACCTGAGATGAAGAGGAATGAAAAAGAAGAAAATAAAAGTGGGGTAATGCCAAAGAGCAATTTTAGAATTGACCATAATCTTTAGGTTGAAGAACAGTTTCTCATTCTATAGGTTTAAGAAATGTGTATATCATAATTCCTTCACAATTGAGAAAAGAGAAAAATACGTATAGTTGTTTTTAGGTAACATATTTGCTGTCAACTCTTGCTTAGCAAATTTTAAAAATATTTGAGCTGAAAAAATTTTTCATATTTGTAATGAATTTATAAAACAATTGTCCTAAATTATATAATACAAATATCGAGACACTATAGTATGAGTTACTATAGTATATTGTTATGAGCTCATATTAATTTTAAAACAACCTCTTTTCTTAGAAAATAATGAGAATTGTAAGCATCCTCCTGTTGTAATGAATGGGGCTGTTGCAGACGGGATATTGGCAAGCTATGCAACAGGATCCTCAGTGGAATATAGATGCAATGAATATTACTTACTGAGGGGATCAAAAATATCTCGTTGCGAACAAGGAAAATGGTCATCCCCACCTGTTTGCTTGGGTAAGAAAGAGAACACATGGAATGTCTACGTTTGTACTTTTATGTGATTTTCTTACAGTGTTTTATATCATGAAAATGATGATTTTGTACAAATCTTTTTTCACAAGTGTTTTCTCTCTCATTTCTTTAAGTAGAAAGTCCCTAAAATATTAGTGTATTTTTTCTATTGTGGTAAAATATACATAACATAAAATTTACCACCGTAGCTATTTTTAAGTGTACAATTCAGTGGCATTAAGTATATTAACATTTTTGTGACCAATTAGCTTTTGGGTTGTCTTTCTCCTAGCTGAAATTCCCTCCCTGGTATACAGCCCTCAATATCTCTGCTTGTATTGCCCTCAGAATGTCATTTCAAGAAGAATAATTAGTCCTATTCTTTCCTTGGTAGAGTATATTGCTAATATATTATAGAGTATATTATATAGAGTATATTGCTAAATTTTACCACCGCATCCTCATCTGAATGGACACGTTTGTTACATCTTGTTGATTATATAAAAGTGTTTGCTAATGACTTAGATAATAAATGGTCTTCTAAATGTTTTACACACACAAGCACACACTCCACAAAATGCTATGATATGATGCAGAGGTATATATCTTAGATTTTTTCACTCAAAATATATTGTAAACATGGTTTGTCATACTTCTACAATATATACTTTAATGGCTGCATAGTATTCCATAATGCAGATATACATATGTAATTTAACCAGTTTATTGATGGATGTTTAGTGTTCAACATTTTTATATTCCAAACAGTACACTTTCAAGTAAATCTTTGTACATGTTAAACATATTTATTTTTGTTAAAAATAATTATCATGAGATCAGGAATTTTAATTCTTTTTCTATTAATTGGCAAATTGTCTATCAGAAAGTTTGTTCTGCTTTGTTAACCCTACCATAAGTGAATTAAAGTAGTAATCATCCTAATCTTTGTTAACTTTGAATATTTTAATCTTGACATTTTTTGTTAAGCAGGCAAGCACAATTATTTTAATTTGATTTATTTAAGAATTAATTAATTTGGAATTTTTTAACTTTCTAGTAGCCACAGGTTTTTTTACATGAATTAATTATTCATAGTTTAGCCATTTTTTCATACTTATAAATCTATATATAAATTATTTTATCCAATTGAGAATCATGTTTATTGCAATTATTTTTAATTTATTTTTATTTATAGTGTTTTTAAGTATATATAAGTGTATGTTTTAAGTCTTGAGCTCTTTCAACCTTTTGTTAGTAGTTTCCACCTTTCAAGTAATTCTTAGGAGTCGATTCCCATTCAAATTCAGATACAGATACATATTCACATAGAATTTTGCTATTGGTCTCATATTTTTATAAATGTTTTTGATATTAAGTTTTTGATGCTTTGGTTGATATTGCATTGAGTGGAGATATAGTAATCTCTAAGGACAAAGACTAGATTAAAATATTTATGGCAAAGCTGGTAATGAAACAAGCTCATAAGGAAATAACAACATTTAAGGAAATACATCATTCTATATCTGGAACAACTGCCTCAAGAGAGTTAGGTTTGGTCCTAATGAATCAAAGCAAATACCAAATGAAGATTAATCATTGTTATCAGGGCAAGAGAAAGGGGCTTTGTATATCTTGGTAACTATTGAAACTGGAAAGGCTATCAGTACAAATTCACAACAGTATGATAAAGCATAGAATTTTCTCTGTAGGAATTATTATTCCAGACATTAAGAGTCTCTCTAACCTCTCCATACTCTCTTCCCTGCTCTAATCACTCCAGTCTTTCTGGTCTCCTTACTCTTCCACAAACAAGCCAAGAATGCTCTCACTTCAGGGCCTTTGCACTGGTTGTTCCCTTTGCTTGGGACACTCTTTCATAAGAAAATGACATGGTTCACTCAGTCTCCTTCAAGCTTTTGTGCAAAGTCCCCTTCAAGCTTTTTTACTTCTTATTTAGGCCTACCCTAATCACCTTACTGAAAAGTGCAACTTCTCTTCACCTAGCTCTTTTGTTACCCCCTCCTGCTCCAGTACTCTTTTTTTCATCTAATTTATCTTATGCTGTAGTTTAAAGATGGCCACTGTGTTAGTCTGTTCTCATGCTGCTAATAAAGACATACCTGAGACTGGGTAATTTATAAAGGAAAGAGATTTAATGCACTCACAGTTCCACATGGCTGGGGAGGCCTCACAATCATGGTAGAAGACAAAGGAGAAGCATGGAACGTCTTACAAGGTGGCAAGCAAGAGAGCATGTGCAGGGAAACTCCCCTTTATAAAACCATCAGATCTCATGAGACTTATTCACTGTAATGAGAACAGCATGGGAAAGACCCACCCCAGGATTCAATTACCTCCAACCAGGTTCCTCCCATGACATATGGGAATTATGGGAGCTACAATTCAAGATGAGATTTGGGTAGGCACACAGCCAAACCATATCAGCCACAAATTATACAATTCATGTCTTTATTATATTTATTATGTATTGTAGGTGTTTCTCCCAGTTAGAAGGTAAGCTCCATGGGAGCAGGAGTCTTGGTTTTATTCATTAGCAGGTTTTCTATTATTTTCTACATGGTAGTTAAAGGTTTTTATTTTATAGAAAGAAAATTATTATTAATCTAACTGATTGATGCCCTTAAATAGTATTTTTGATGTTTTAAATTAAGTGGTTTTAGTTTATGACAATAATGTATAGATTCATTTGATAGTAATAAAGTATATATTTTCTTATATATATATGTGTGTGAGAGAAGCCTTAATTATGATTTCAATTATAAAATATTGCTTTTGAAACTTGTCATAATTTTTGTTTTAAAAAATATCACTTTTATATTTGTCAGACAAGTAAAGAATTTAAAAGAGCATTTTGTTTTACAGAACCATGTACTGTTAATGTGGATTACATGAACAGAAATAACATAGAAATGAAGTGGAAATATGAAGGGAAAGTCTTACATGGAGATTTAATAGATTTTGTATGTAAACAGGGATATGACTTATCTCCATTAACCCCATTGTCTGAATTATCTGTGCAGTGCAACAGAGGAGAAGTGAAATATCCTTTATGTACTAGAAAAGGTAAAATAATAATGTTCTCTGCAAGTATCTTTACTTGACCAATATCTGCTACCTCGGTTGAAAATTTATTTATAGTTTGTTGCTATTTTTCTTATTATTATTCTTTTTAATTTTGTTTTATTTTATTTTATTTTACTTTGAGTTCTGAGACACAAGTGCAGAATGTGCAGGTTTGTTACATGGGTATACGTGTGCCATGGTGGTTTGCAATTCCAGTAATGGAATTGCTGCGTCGAATTTCATTTCTGGTTCTAGGTCCTTGAGGAATCACCACACTGTCTTCCACAATGGTTGAACTAATTTACATTCCCATCAGCAGTGTAAAAGCATTCCTATTTCTCCCCAGCCTTACCAGCATCTATTGTTTCTTGGCTTTTTAGTAATTGCCATTCTGACTGGTGTGAAATGGTGTCTCATTGTGATTACACCTTATACAAAAATTAACTCAAGATGGATTAAAGATTTAAATGTAAAAACCCCAAACCATAAAAACTCTAGAAGAAAACCTAGGCAATACCATTCAGGACATAGGCATGGGCAAATACTTAATGACGAAAATGCCAAAAGCAATTGCGATGAGAGCCAAAACTGACAAATGAGATCTAATTAACCTAAAGAGCTTCTGCACAGCAAAAGAAACTATCATCAGAGTGAACAGGAAACTTACAGAATGGGAGAAAATTTTTGCAATCTGCCCATGTGACAAAGGTCTAATATCCAGAATCTACATGGAACTTAACACAAATTTACAAGAAAAAAACGAACAACACCATCAAAAAGTAGGCAAAGGATATAAACAGTCACTTCTCAAAAGAAGACATTTATGTGGCCAACAAACATATGAGGAAAAAGCTCAACATCGCTGATCTTTAGAGAAAATTTATACCTATGACCCCAATTCACCACCATCATATTCTAATCTATAAAGTTGAGAGGAGTGATCCAACTTCCAAACTTCAATCAGCATATATACCTATATAGGATGGCCATGCTGACATCTTTTAATTCCAATAAGTCAATTTTATGAAGGGAAAAAATCAAGAGGTTTTATAAATGTTGCCAGACTATCAGAGAATTGATCACCTTCTTGTGAGCACTCAACAACAAACACTGTAAAGCATTGCTCTACTTAGGGCTTTCTGGGGACCCATTGTCTCAGTACTCACTGGCTATAGGGACTATTACTTTTAATAAGGAAGAAAAGGAAAATAATATATACAGAAATCATGGCTTCTAGAAAAATCCCATATACACTTAGGGAGAAATAAAATCATGATTGTTAATACTCTCATAGTTTTAAATATGCATGTAAACACTATAACGTGGGATTCTAATTATAAAAATACATTGTATGGTATAATATTATTGCAAAAACATCTTCAATATTTTAAAAATATTTGAGAACTGCCTAAAAAATGGCTTTATGGCTAGGTGCAGTGGCTCACGCCTGTAATCCCAGCACTTTGGGAGGCCAAGGTGGGCAGATTTCTTGAGCCCAGGAATTCAAGACCAACCTGAGCAACATAGTGAGACCCTGTCTCTACAAAAGAAAAATGCACCTGTAGTCCCAACTAGTTGGGAGGCTAAGACAGGAGGATCACTTGAGCCTGGGAGGCAGAGGTTGCAGTGAGTCATGATCATGCCACCATACTCCAGCCTGGGTGACAGAGGGAGACTCTGTCTCTGTAGCACTTATAAAGTACTGGATGTTCATTATAGCAATTCATTGTATACTTTAAAACTTATTTTTGCAGAATCTAAAGGAATGTGCACATCTCCTCCTCTTATTAAACATGGAGTCATTATTAGTTCAACAGTAGACACCTATGAAAATGGCTCTTCAGTAGAATACAGATGTTTTGATCACCATTTCCTAGAAGGATCTAGGGAGGCCTATTGTTTAGATGGAATGTGGACTACACCACCATTGTGTTTAGGTATGTACTACTAAATATGCCTCTAACAAAGTAAAACTATATATTTTTAATTTGCTGTCATTTTTGAGTTAACATAACACTAATATAATGCTATATTTGCTACATTTGTGTTATTTTATTCATGTGCTTATTTTATCACTGCTTTCTATTCTTTCCTCTAGATCATAAATACCTATAGTTCAGTTTGTTGTAATACATATTTTTTTAAAGACAAACCACACATCAGGTTGGTATGGGCTATAAGTTGAATAAGCCATAGTGGTGTGAGTAAACTTTAACAATTATCATTCATTGTGATTGGTACTATAATAGAAAACATTAGGGAAACATGTATAATAGAAAACAATGCGGAAATAAAGAAATGGACAACTCAATATGGAAAGATGAAGCAAGTTAATGTTTTATTAGCAAGGCATCCTAGTAAGAGTAACAACATTTACTAAGGCCCTCAGAGGCATGAAATAGCACATCTGTAAATAATAAGAAAATATTTTTTATTTCCAATTCTGACTTTTATTTACTTCTCTTATCTTCTTTCACTGGCTAGGACTTCAGTACAATGTTGAATGGAAGAGGTAGTGGATATCTTTATTTGCTTCCCATTCTCATAAGTAAAACCTTTGATAATTCACCTCTATGTGTTGTTATAAATATTTTTTTAAAAATCAAGTTAAAGGTATAAAAACCTTTCTTTCTATTTTGCCGAAAGTATTTTTAAAGAATCTTCAATCTGTGTTTAATTTTTAGCAATATCTGTTGAAATAATTACATAATTATTACTTTTGTTTTTTCCCCTGCAAATTTAATGAATTATATTGCTTCTTTTGAATGTTAAAGCATGATTCTATTCCCATAAGAAATTCCACAAGGTTGTGATAAATTATGCATATTATATGTTATATTTTTATTTATCAATATTTTACTCATCTATTTTCATGAGAAAGACTGGTTGGTTATTTTCCTTTCTGGTTTGATATCAAGTCTGTGCTGACCTCATCCCATGAATGGGAAGTGTTCCGTCTTTTCTGGTTCTCTGGATTGATGCTATTTCTTCCTTTATAATTTTAAGAGTTAACCAGAGAAGCCATCTGGGACTTGAGTTTTTCCGTGAAAAGACAAATTGACAGCTTCGATTTGTTTAACAAATAATGGTAATTATTTCTTCTTCTGTCAGTTTTGGTAGGGAGTGGTTTCTTGATGGTTCATTACAACTACATTGTCAAATCTACTAACATAAAGTAGTTATGACATCTTCCTATCCTCTTTTTGATGTTTTTATTGATGTATCTTTTGTTATTACTTCTATTAATATGTATCTGTCTTGACATGCCTTGCTAAGGGTCTATACATTTTATTAGTGTTTTCAAAAAACCAACATTTGCATTTGTTGATTCATCAAATTTTGCTTTCTATTTTATTAATTATGCTATTATCTTTATTATTTCCTTTCTTCTATGTTCTTGGATTTCTTTTGTTACTCTTTTTCTGGCTTGTTTAGATGAATACATAGATTACTAATTTTCAGCATTTATATTTTTTCTAATACATGAATTTAAAAATAGAAATTTCTCTCTGAGCACAACTTTAACTTCATCCAAACCATTTTTATATCTTGGATTTTTACTGTCATTCAGCTCAAAAATTTTATAGTATTCATTTTGATATATTCTCTGTGCTCTGAATCATTTAGAAGTTTCTTTTTAAAGTTCTGAATATTTAGGGGATTTTCTAGTTTTCTTTTGGTTACTGATTTCTAGTTTAATTCAATTAAGACATACTTTGAATTATATCTGCACTTTAAAATTTGTTGATATTTGCTTTATAACAAGCATGTATTTGCTTTAGGTAAACGTTCTTTTCATACTTGAAAAAAGTTAACTTTGTCATTGTTGGGTTCACTGTTTTATATATGTGAATTGGATTGAGTTTTGTTTTTGATGTTTAAGTTAATCCAAAGCTGTACTGATTTGTGTGTGTTTGTTTTCTATCAATCACTGAGAGAAGCATGTTAAAGTCTCACTTGGCATTTTAAAACATTACTAATTTTAGTTCTGTCCATTTTTGCTTTTGTATTTTGATACTATTTCATTAGGTACACACACAAATTGAGACACTAAATCTTCGTATCTTGGTGTATTGGCATTGTCTAATTTTAAAAGACCTCCTTCATATATAGTAATGCTTTGCCTTTTTTTTTGCCTTGAGGTCTCCTTTAGCTGCACCAAGGGGCTTTTGACAAGCATTCATGTAGTACACATTTTTCCATCCCTTAACTTTCAACCTTCTGGGTTTTTACTTTTAGTGTGCCTCTCTTATAAGCAATATATACCTTATTTTAAAATATACTTATGCAGTTTATAATTTTTTCCCTTGTAATGGAATAGTCTATTTACATATTCATGTAATTACTAATATATTTCTGTTTATACCTACCAACCCTACCAACTTTCTATACTAGGTGTATGTTACTATACTCCATGTATATCCCATTGGTCATCTCCCTCTTTCTCTCTCTCTCTCCATATAGGTGTGTGTGTATATATATATACACATATATATATATAATATTTTAAGTTCTAGGGTACATATGCACAATGTGCAGGTTTGTTACATAGGTATACATGTGCCATGTTGGTTTGCTGCACCCATCAACTCTTCATTTACATTAGGTATTTCTCCTAAAGCTATCCCTCCCCCAGACCCCCACAGACAGGCCCTGGTGTTTGATATTCCCTGCCCTGTGTCCATGTGTTCTCATTCTTCAACACTCACCTATGAGTGAGAACATGCAGTGTTTGGTTTTCTGTCCTTGTAATAGTTTGCTTACAATGATGGCTTCCAGCTTCATCCATGTCCCTGCAAAGGGCATGAACTCATCCTTTTTAATGGCTGCATAGTATTCCATGGTGTGTATGTGCCACATTTTCTTAATCCAGTCTATCATTGATAGACATTTGGGTTGGTTCCAAGTTTTGCTATTGTGAATAGTTCTGCAAAAAACATATCTGTGCATTTGTCTTTATAGCAGAATGACTTATAATCCTTTGGGTATATACCCAGTAATGAGATCACTAGGTCAAATGGTATTTCTAGTTCTAGATCCTTGAGGAGTCGCCACACTGTCTTCCACAATGATTGAACTAGTTCATACTCCCACCAACAGTGTAAAAGCGCTCCTATTTCTCCACATCCTTTCCAGCATCTGCTGTTTCCTGACATTTTAATGATCGCCATTGTAACTGGAGTGAGATGGTCTCTCATTGTGGTTCTGATGACCAGTGATGATGAGCATTTTTTCATATGTCTGTTGGCTGCATAAATGTCTTCTTTTGAGAAGTGTCTGTTCGTATCCTTTGCCCACTTTTTGATGGGGTTGTTTTTTTCTCGTAAACTTTTTAAGCTCTTTGTAGATTCTGGATGGTAGCTCTTTGTCAGATGGATAGATTGCAAAAATTTTCTCCCATTCTGTAGGTTGCCTGTTCACTCTGATGATCGTTTCTTTTGCTGTGCAGAAGCTCTTTAGTTCAATTAAATTCCATTTGTCTATTTTGGCTTTTGTTGCCATTACTTTTGGTGTTTTAGTCATGAAGTACTTGCCAATGCCTATGTCCTGAATGATATTGCCTAGGTTTTCTTCTAGGGTTTGTATGGTGTTAGGTCTTACATTTAAATTTTTAATGCATCTTGAGTTAATTTTTGTATAAGGTATAAGGAAGTGATCCAGTTTCAGCTTTCTACATATGGCTAGCCAGTTTTCCCAACACCATTTATGAAATAGGAAATCATTTCCCATTTCTTGTTTTTGTCAGGTTTGTCAAACATCAGATGGTTGTATGTGTGTGCATTATTTCTGAGGCCTCTGTTCTGTTCCATTGGTCTATATATCTGTTTTGGTACCAGTATCATGCTGTTTTGGTTACTGTAGCCTTGTATTATAGTTTGAAGTCAGGTAGCCTGATGCCTCCAGCTTTGTTCTTTTTGCTTAGGATTGTCTTGGCAATGCGGGCTCTTTTTTGGTTCCATATGAATTTTAAAGTAGTTTTGTCCAATTCTGTGAAGAAAGTCAATGGTAGTTTGATGGGGATGGCATTGAATCTATAAATTACCTTAGGCAGCATGGCCATTTTCACGATATTGATTCTTCCTATCCATGAGCATGGAATGTTCTTCCATTTGTTTGTGTCATCTTTTATTTCGTTGGGCAGTGGTTAGTAGTTCTTGAAGAGGTCCTTCACATCCCTTGTAAGTTGGATTCCTAGGTATTTTATTCTCTTTGAAGTAATTGTGAATGGGGGTTCACTCATAATTTGGCTCTCTGTTTGTCTATTATTGATGTATAGGAATGCTTGTGATTTTTGCCATTGATTTTGTATCCTGAGACTTTCCTGAAATTGTTTATCAGCTTAAGGAGATTTTGGGCTGAGACGATGGGGTTTTCTAAATATATAATCATGTTATCTGCAAACAGGGACAATTTGAATTCCTCTTTTCCTAATTTAATACCATTTATTTCTTTCTCTTGACAGATTGCCCTGGCCAGAACTTCCAACACTATGTTGAATAGGAGTGGTGAGAGAGGGCATCCCTGTCTTGTGCCAGTTTTCAAAGCAAATGCTTCCACTTTTTGCCCATTCAGTAAGATATTGGTGGTGGGTTTGTCATGAACAGCTCATATTATTTTGAGGTACATTCCCTCAATACCTTGTTTATTGAGAGTTTTTAGCATGAAGGGCTGTTGAATTTTGTCGAAGGCTTTTTCTGAATCTATTGAGATAATCATGTGGTTTTTGTCATTGGTCCTGTTTATGTCATGGATTATGTTTATTGATTTGTGTATGTTGAACCAGCATTGCATCCCAGGGATGAAGCCATCTTGATCGTGGTGGATAAGCTTTTTGATGTGCTGCTGGATTTGGTTTGCCAGTATTTTATTGAGGATTTTCACATCGATGTTCATCAGGAATATTGGTCTAAATTCTGTTTTTTGTTGTTGTTGTGTCTCTGCCAGGCTTTGATATCAGGATGATGCTGACTTCATTAAATGAATTAGGGAGGATTCCCTCTTTTTCTATTGATTGGAATAGTTTCAGAAGGAATGGTACCAGCTCCTCTTTGTACCTTTGGTAGAATTCGGCTGTGAATCCATCTGGTCCTGGGCTTTTTTTGATTTGTAGGCTATTAATTATTGCCTCAATTTCAGACCCTGTTATTGGTCTATTCAGACATTCAACTTCTTTCTGGTTTAGTCTTGGAAGGGTGTATGTGTCCAGGAATTTGTCCATTTCTTCTAGATTTTCTAGTTTATTTGCATAGAGTGTTTATAGTATTCTCTGATGGTAGTTTGTATTTCTGTGGGATTGGTGGTGATATTCCCTTTATTATATTTTATTGCATCTATTTGATTCTTCTCTCTTTTCTTCTTTATTAGTCTTGCTCTCAGTCTATGTAGTTTGTTTATCTTTTTTAAAAAAACAGTTCCTGGATTCATTGATTTTTTTGAAGGGATTTTTTGTGTCTCTATTTCCTTCAGTTCTGCTCTGATCTTAGTTATTTCTTGCCTTCTGCTAGCGTTTGAATGTGTTTGCTCTTGCTTCTCTAGTTCTTTCATTGTGATGTTAGGGTGTCGATTTTAGATCTTTCCTGCATTCTCTTGTGGGCATTTAGTGCTATAAATTTCCCACTACACACTGCTTTAAATGTGTCCCAGAGATTCTGGTACGTAGTGTCTTTGTCCTTACTGGGTTCAAAGAACATCTTTATTTCTGCCTTCATTTCGTTATTTATCTAGTAGTCATTCAGGAGTAGGCTGTTCAGTTTCCATGTAGTTGTGCAGTTTTGAGTGAGTTTCTTAATCCTGAGTTCTAATTTGATTGCACTGTGGTCTGAGAGACAGTTTGTTGTGATTTCTGTTCTTTTTCATTTGCCAAAGAGTGTTTTACTTGCAGTTATGTGGTCAATTTTGGAATAAGTGCAGTGTGGTGCTGAGAAGAATGTATATTCTTTTGATTTGGAGTGGAGAGTTATGCAGATGTCCATTAGGTCTGCTTGGTCCAGAGCTGAGTTCAAGTCCTGGATATTCTTATTTACCTTCTGTCTCGTTGATCTGTCTAGTATTGACAGTGGGGTGTTAAAGTCTCCCATTATTATTGTGTGGGAGTCTAAATCTCTTTGCAGGTCTCTAAGGACTTGCTTTATTAACCTGGGTGCTCCTGAATTGGGTGCATATATATTTAGAATAGTTAGTTCTTCTTGTTGAATTGATCCCTTTACCATTATGTAATGGCCTTCTTTGTCTCTTTTGATCTTTGTTGGTTTAAAGTCTGTTTTATCAGAGACTAGGATTGTAACCCCTGCTCAGCAATAGTAGACGACCCTCCCCCCATAACGCTGTCGTGTCACAGGTTGATCTCAGACTGCTGAGCTAGCAGTGAGCAAGGCTCCATGGGCGTGGAAACTGCTGAGCCAGGCAAGGGAGGGTATCTCCTGGTCTGTCGGTGGCTAAGACCTTGGGAAAAGCACAGTATTTGGTCAGGAGTGTACCATTTCTCACTGTGCTGCCCAGGCTGGAGTTCCTTAGAAACAAATCAGAAACAAATCTCTCCCTCTCTCTCTTTCTCTCTCTCTCTCTATATATATATAAATATATATATATATGAGTTAGTTCCAAGATGGCCGAATAGGAACAGCTCCGGTCTGCAGCTCCCAGGGAGATCAGTGCAACACAATGAGACTCTCTTTGTACATTTTGTTCTTCAAGTTAGTAGCATTCCTTGAACCTTGATGTACTTGATATCCTTCATGGGTTTTAGAAATGTTTGGCTAATATCTTTTAAAATGTACATTTCTCACCTCTTCTGTGATGCCATATTACATATATTACATCTTTTTGCTATGCCATTGTCTCTTTAAATCTATATTTTCTCTCATTTTCTTCTTGTTTCACTGTAGTAATTTTTTGGTAATTTTCTCATTGTATCATTTCTTTGTTTCTATTTGGTAATTTTCTTCTAGTTTAACAATCCTCTCTTTAGATGTATCCAATCTGCTTTAAACTCATCTTTTGAGTTCTCAATTTCAGTTATCATCTTTGCATTTCTATTTTATATTTTCTTTTTGTAGATTTGAGTTATCTGATGAAAGATCCTAGCTTAACATCAACTTCTTGAACATATAATTCATACTTTTTATTAAGGCTTGTCTGCAAACTCCAATATCTGGATCTATTTTTTAGCCCCAAATTCTTGATATTTTTGTTAACAGTTGATTGAATTCCAAATATTATACGTGGAAAATTTCAGGATGTTTGGATGATGTCAGCTTACTCCAAAGAAGACTCATCTCATCCTCTGGCTGATGATTAGTGTAGAGGCAGTTGGTTTTAATACAATTAGAAATAAAGCTTTCTCTATGTTTGTTTTCAGACCTCTGTTTGCCTTTTCTCACAGACTGTAACTCTCCAGGGCTCTTTACAGAGGGTTTGTTGTGTGTATTAAAGCTTTTTCTCCTTGACTGTCTCTGATATTACTGGGAGACTGCCAAATGCCCACTGTAACTTTTTATTTACTTTCTGCTTGGCTTCTCATCCTATGCCTCTATACAAGTCAAGGATAAGCAGTACCTTAGGGAAAAGCTAGTGCAGAGCCTCAAACTCATATCTCTACACTTCCTATCCTTCTAAATTCTTTATTCTTCAAGTCCTGGCTGCTTTGGTTTACCGAAATTCTCATTTTTCTATCTTCAACTCCATGAGATTTTCAGAAGTTCTGCTGGCTGTATGCCTAAGCTTACCATTCTCTATCATCTAACCTCTCAGGTCAGACTTAGAGTCAACAAACACCTCAAGAGAAAAAAATGGCACATAGAATTTTTTTTTTTTTTTAGACAGTCTCCTTTTGTTGCCCAGGCTGGAGTGCAGTGGTGCGATCCCTGCTCACTGCAACCTCCACCTTCTAGGTTCAAGAGATTCTTCTGCCTCAGCTTTCCCGAGTAGCTGGGATTACAGGTGCATGCCACCATGCCCGGCTATTTTTTTTTTTTTTTTGTAGAGATGGGGTTTCACCATGTTGGCCAGGCTGGTCTCAAACTCCTGACCTCAGATGATCCGCCCGCCTTGGCCTCCCAAAGTGCTGGGATTACAGGTGTGAGTCACCACGCCCAGCCTCACATAGATGTTGAACTCACCTGAATACATTTTTTCCAGAACCTTACTTCCTTGACTAAGTTCCTTGGAGGTTTTCTGATACCTCGAAATGCTTCCTGTTTTTCAGATTTTCTGGTTCTTAATAGAAGTGCTGGTTTGATATAATCTCCTCTGTCATAGCTGAAAGTTAAAGGTCCATGAATCAACTTTTAAATTTATTTTAATTTAAATCTCATGTTCTGTAGAACAGTGACATCGTAAATTATAGTGCTATTCGACTTCATTTTCACAACTATTTTGTAATGAGTGTAATAATTCTTGTTCATTTTCATCACCTGTAGCACTTCCAGCATAATGTTTGACACATAGGCATTTAATAAGTAGTTGTTGAAGAAAGTAACTGAACACAGTGCTCTCAGCTGCGGTTTCACTTTCTGTGGTTTCAGTTACCTGCTATAAACTGCAGTCTGAAAACGTTAAATTGAAAATTTCAGAAATAAACAACTTATAAATTTTAAATTATGCACTTAGTAGTATAATAAAATTTCATGCCATTCCATCCTTCCTGCCCCAGATATGCTAAAAAGAAGCTGTAAAGTGCTTCCTTTAAGTGAAAGGGCGGAAATTCTTAACTTAAAAAGAAAGGAAAAATAAATGTATGCTGAGGTTGCTAAGATCCATGGTAACAATGAGTCTTCTGTCTATGAAAGTGTGAAGAAGGAAAAAGAAATCCATGCTAGTTTCGTTGTTGCACCTCAAACTGCAAAAGTTACAAGCCACAGTGTATAATAAATGTTTAGTTGAGGTGGAAGAGGCATTAAATTTGTGGGCAGAAGACATGAACAGAAACATGTTCCAAAAGAATGACAACAGGGTTTAGCATTATCTGCGGTTTCAGGCATGCACTGGGGCTCTTGAAATGTATCCCCTGTAGGCAATCAGGGAGGGGCATACTGTAAGTAAGTTTGTTAATGTACTACAGGTATATGATTGATATGCCATATTAGCAACTCTGGACCTTTTTACCTGTCTCAGAAGTTATTCCTTAATGCTAGGTCATCCAGGAGACAAATAAGGACATAAGAAATCCCATTTTCTGAAATAATTTGATATTTGATATTTTAGAAATATTAATGTTTTTATTCTGTAAAAAAAATCGAAGAGGTTTTTTTGTGTATTTTAATACATACTTTACCATTCTCTTTGGTTTACGATACATGGGAAAGGACACAACTATACTTTGTATGCTTAGAATTTAAAACGTCTTAATCCAGTCTTGATATTTCTTAACTAGAAATTTGAAAGAGAAGTAACTGTCAACCATTTTGGATGGCATGAGGTTATAAAGCTTGGGTCAGTGTTGAGAATCTACATTTCCATAAAATGTTATTTATACAGCAATTAATAATTTGTCTCATGAGAATTTTATTTGAACTTTCTGAAGAAGGAAAAGGGAAAAGAGCATGATATCAATGACCATTAGTAACTGTCAATGCTTCCCCCCAAATACCTTTTTGTTTGTTTGCTATCTTTGAAAAAGCTAATGACATAAAACTAAAATACCTTTTAGTTTTTAAAACTGGAAGAAAATACCTTTTCTCCAAATCCAGGACCACAGAGAGAAATGGCTCACTGTTTTCTGTGAGATTTGAACATATTTTCTGACTCAAATATTAATTCTGATTAACTGACTTGCTGCTCTTAGGCCTGAGAATTTTAAGGTCCTCATGAGTAGGCAACACAACGATTCCTGTTCTTACCAAGATGTAACAAGATAGTTTTCTTCTTTTTCTTTCTTTTTTTTTAAATTGTTGTTCCCAGAGCCATGCACATTATCTTTTACTGAAATGGAAAAGAATAATTTACTTCTGAAATGGGATTTTGACAATAGACCACACATTTTGCATGGTGAATATATTGAGTTTATTTGTAGAGGAGATACTTATCCAGCTGAATTATATATTACTGGATCTATACTTAGAATGCAATGTGACAGAGGGCAGTTAAAATATCCAAGATGTATTCCAAGACAAAGGTAAGAAGTTTTTTTTTTTTGGTCAGATTATTTTTTTTGGTCAGATTGTTATTCAACATTTCAGAAATGTTATGTTCTATACCACTCATACTTTATGGCAATTGCAAAGAAAAAATAATAATATTTTCTTCATTTTTTTTACACCAAACAAACAACTGGAAGTGGTAATCAATTCAACAGGCCTTCTGAATTGTCTGAAGTGAAAGCAACGTTTGCCATTTGATATTTGTGACACTTTGGCAAATGGAAAAATAAACCAATTTATACGTGCAATATTTCAATGTGCAAAAATTAACCTATATGTTCTGTGATAAGGACAAAAATCACACTTTCTCCTACTTCTCAATATAAGTTCAAGCACTACTAATAAAGGTTGGAAAATGTGGTATTTATTTTCAGGACCACATTTTTGTGTAACTTTTGGAAATTACATACTAAAGTGTTTCCTCATATGACAGTTTAAAAAATATATCCTCTGCTACTTACAGGAAATAATTTAACAATTTTCTTAGAGAAATGTTAAAAAAGTATAATAAAATGATGTAAACCATTTTGTAGGATCACAATTTTAACCCTTTTTGAAGACACTATATATAAAAAATGGAAATTATATTTTTTGTTCAACTAAGAATATTAAAAATATAAGTAGTGGCAAAGTGCATGTGGTCCTGTTTTAAAAAATGCAAACAATGAACTGTATGAACTACATAAAGTCAGTTTTTTAGATGCTTTGACCACTCTAGTAAAAAAATATTTAAAAGACACACAATAGTGGGAAAAATTTTTATTTTTATTTCTAATTGTGGTAGCATCAGGGTGGAAAAAATTTTATATGCTATTTAAATGTTTTGGTACAGTATGAATTTCTCACTTTTAAGAGAAAAAGGTAAACACGTAGAAAATATTTAAAAAATCATGAGTAGTGTAGTAAATAATATTGCATTTTTAAAAGGGAACTGGTGGTATTATTTACTAAGTAAGATCATTTATTCTTATTAGTACTTAATAAAAACAATGACTCATTATATGAAAAATTGAAAGGCTGAGATTGTAATTAACACCTGACTGCAATTGATGCTTATTTCAAAAATCTCTCTTTTTCCCCTCAAGCACTCTGTCTTATCAAGAACCCTTAAGAACATAGAAATGAATGGCAGAAAGAGGAGTCATATTTCAATACATCATGAAATTCCTTATAAAATATAATTTTGAGGAAATAAGTTAAAAACTTCGGAGTTTTTCCTTGCTTAAATATTTGAATCTAAATTATTTGTGCTGAACATTTCGTTATTTATAAATGAAAACCAATAAATGTCTAATTTTTAGTTTGTATGATTTGATGTAGAACTTAATCTCTTTTGTATGTCTTCCATCTGTTACAAATTAATCTACACATCATATTTTCATTTCCTAATGCCCATTGACTAGACTATATAGTTGTTTTCAATATACTGTATGTGCAAAAATTTCACATTCACATTCGTCATCATCTTTATTAATATTAAGGCTTTTGTTACCCTTAATTCAAAGTTTATGTCACTATTAAAGGGCCAAACACACTAGAGATAAGAAACTATATGCTGTATTAGAGGATCTGCCTTATTAAAGGCAGAAGAGACTGCCCTTCAGACTTTCTAAATGTAAAAAACTTTTAAAATTAACTGTAATATTTGCTACAACGTTAATAACCAAATTGTTTATGAGGTGGTGTACTACCATATTTGAACATGTGCTCAAATATTGTTAAAGAGACACAATTAAAGAAAGAATGACCCTTGGAATTTTATTTAATTTTATTTATTTATTTATTTATTTATTTAGAGACAGAGTCTTGCTCTGTCGCCCAGGCTAGAGTGCAATGGCATGATCTTGGCTCACTGCAATTTTTGCCTCCCGTGTTCAAGCAATTCTCCTTCCTCAGCCTTCCAAGTAGCTGGGATTACAGGCGTGTACCACCACGCCCGCTACGGTTTTTTTTTTTTTTTTGTATTTTTAGTAGAGACAAGGTTTCACCATGTTGACCAGGCTGGCCTCGAACTCCTGACCTCATGTGATCCACCCGCCTTGGCCTCCCAGGACTCTTGGCATTTTTACATTTTACACTTTCAAGTCTTTTTTTATATCAAATAATTTTTGGAATTATGCAGACTACAAAATCTGAAATAAGAGAGTTCTACAAGCATCAAAAAATGAGTGTCAGTATTATCAAGGTCTGTTAGAGACATGAAACAGCAACACTGTCACTTTTTCATTTGAAGTGAGAGTTATACTTCTAATTATTTCAGCTCATTCATAAGCATATGTAATAGCACTAGTACCCAGATACTAGGACCCCGATTAGGATTGGTTGTTGGTATTAGAACGAGTTTTCCTTTCTAGAAACTACTCAGTTTTTCTAACTCAAGATCTTAGTTTCTCATTACGATGATATTCTCAAATGCCCAATGTACAATTCTCTACTGCTGGGTATGAAATAGCTTCTTTTGGAAATGATGCCACAGCTGACCTAACTCTGTGGATTAAATAAGTATTAATTCATTCAATGTTAAACATGTATATTTCAGAACTGTCCTTGAGTTCATATTCATTATTTTAATTAATCTCCTGTAGTAGGTTCCCACAGTGGATCTCATAAAAATGGAAATTTAATTAAAATTAAATATCAACAGAAAAGCATTAATCTTTTTAAATAAATTTCCCAATCTATCAATTAAATAACATTATTGAGCACCTGCTATATCCCAGGGAACATGCTGGGTAGTACAGGATTCAAAATGATTAAAATTCACCTCGTTATTTCAAAGAACTCACAAAGTAAAAAACTACTTACTTAGTAAAAGAGATAAACTTGTACTAGTGATTGCAGACTCAAAATGGGTGATGATTGTGGCTTATCTAGTGATATTTCTAGTGAACTGGAGATGGCATGCACTGTTTAACCTGGACAACTACTTCGCTCAAGGTGAATAATTGTCATGGGGGAATATTGTATCCAGTATTGCCATATGTTCTGATTTGTTAATTGTGAAATGCACTGATTTTTATATGTTGCGAGGAGATAAAAAATTATTTAGGCAGTGCAGCTCAAAGTAAACTCCACATGCTAAAGAAATAAAAATTTTGAAAAGTGCAACAGTGGAAGCATGTACGAAGTAAAGTGGTGGCACAAAGTAGGTAGTATTTAACCTTTTTTTTTTTTTGTATGAATGTGGTATAGGAAGCTTCTTGGAAAAAAGTTAAAGTAAATCTGAGGTTTACAAAACTAGAAAACACACTTCAAGTAGAAGGAATGGCATTTGCAAAGTCAAAGCTCATACTCTATGCTAGGCATTACACCGAGCACTGAAAATAAAACAATGAATAAGACACAGACTGTTTCTGCTCTTGTGGAGCTTGTCTCTCGGAGCGGAAGAAAGATATAAGCAAATCCTTACAAAATAAGGCATGGCAGCAAAGACACCATCTTTGTCAGTAAACACCAGATGATACTGCCTAGTACTGGGTGTTTAAAAAGTCTTCAGTGAGGAAGTGATATATAAGTGACATATAGGCTGAGATTGGATGGGAGAAATGATAAGAATTCATGTAGAGAAAGAACATGAAATACAGCAAAGAACATGACATTTCCAAGAAGCTAATAAAAACCCAGTATGGATTGAGTGGAAAGGAGTGAAGGACAGAGAGGAGTATGCGAAACTTGGAGAGGTTGGAGCCCTGATTGTGAAGGCCTTTGTAGGTCAAATTAAAGATTTTGGAAGTCACTAAATAGAATGCGATGCTTACTGGGAATTTTTAAAAGACATCACTGACTGTAATATGGAGAGACTGATCTGAAGGGCAAAAAGTGTGGGCAAAGAGAAATCACTGAGGAAAACGAGGCAGTCATCTGGCAAAGATAAGGTAGTCACTTACACCGGTGGCAGCAGCAGGATGGTACAAAATAGGCTGAAATAAGATATTTAGGATGTGACATCATTATAATGATAATTGATTAGATGTGGGGGACAGTGAGGCAGAGAAAAGAGTTCAGGAGGACTCCTAGGTTTTGGCTTGACTAAGTGGCTATCTAAATATGATAGGAAGAATGGCAAGGAGAAGCAATGGGAGGGAGTGGGGATTAGCATGAAGAGTTTTATTAATAATTTTGGAAATGTGCTTTTGAGGTATCTGTGAGATAGGAAAGTGAAAAGACTAAGTAAGCACTTGATTTTTTTTTTTTTTTTTTTTTTTTTGTAGTCAGAGTCTCGCTCTGTCACCCAGACAGAGCTGGAGTGCAGTGGCACCGTCTCAGCTCACTGTAACCTTCTCTTCCCAGGTTCAAGTGATTCTTGAGGAAGCACTTGATTCTTATGGTTGATGCTTTGATGAACCACCTAGATTTCCTTCAGAAACACAAAGACTTACTTTTCCAGCTACTGGGAGCTCTCACTTATCAGTTCCCTAAAAGGGGTTGCCTCAGCTTAAGGGAGCCTCTTTCCCTAAGGTCATAGCTTCTTCCCAGGTTGGCCTACACTAATGATTGATCAACAGGACTTATAAAGAAAAGGCTCCTCACCCAAACTCAGGACAGTTCTAAAGAGTAATTTCAGCTTCTGAGTTCCTCATAGTATTGACTGGGGCCTCTGGTTGAAATGACATTGCAACTCAACTTCTCCCTTTTGACTTCCTTCGTTTCCCTTCCCCAGGTGTGAAGCCCAAGAATACTCCCTGAAAGTCCTCTTGTCTGCTAATTTCCATCTCAAGGCTGACTTCCCTGGGTAGCTCAATCTGTAACAGTTACATAAGCCTGGGTATCAGAACAGAGCACTAGGCATAATTTGGAGTCATAAGTCAGTAGGTGTTTAATAAAACTAAGGTAATAGACGAGTTTTTCAGGGTGAAGATAGATGTAGGCCTACTTCAGGGCTTTGAGGCACCAAAGTTTAGTGTTTGGGAATAGGACAAGATACAACAAAGGAAACTGATAAGAAATGGCCAAACTATTTGAATGAAAAGCAGAAGAGATGGGGACTAAAAATGCTGTTTGGTTATTATTGATTACCTTGAAAGAAAGAGCATCCAGTAGGAAATTGAGACGAGAGTAGGATGAGGAATAAATGTAAGGTACAAAAAATCAGAAATATGAATGTAGTGAGCTTGCCAATATGTGTGACAGTGAATGGAGGGATAGAAATAAAGGAGGTCTGCCGGGCGCTGTGGCTCAAGCCTATAATCCCAGCACTTTGGGAGGCTGAGGCAGGTGGGTCATCTGAGGTCAGGAGTTCAAGACCAGCCTGACCAATATGGTGAAACCCTGTCTCTACTAAAAATACAAAAATTGGGCGTGGTAGTATGAGCCTGTAATCCCAGTTACTCAGGAAGCTGAGACAGAAGAATTGCTTGAGCTTAGGAGGCAGAGGTTGCAGTGAGCCGAGATTGAGTCACTGCATTCCAGCCTGGGCGACAGAGCAAGATTCCATCTCAAAAAAAAAAAAAAAAAAAAAAAGAAAGAAAAAAGAAATACATAAAGAAGATTTTTGTTTTAATAAAATGGGAGAAATTTGAACAGTTTGAGCATGTTTACATTACATTAGAATGAAGAACCAGGTGGAAGATGTTGAGAAAATATTGCATAACAGATTGTAGAAGATTCTTGAAAAAATAAGAAGAGATGGGACCAGTGCCATAAGTAAAGGGATGGCCCTTGGCTAGGAAAAGTGAATTTGTGGCAGGAATAAGCACATTCATGTCATGTGTTTTTTATTTCCCCTGTGGAGGGCTATCGTGGGAGACAAGTTGAAGGACTGAGGAGAGGGGAGAAAGTTTGAAAAAGTCATGTAGAAAGTGAGATGATGGCAGAAGTAAAAGATAGCTTGATGAAAAGGCACAATCTAGCCAGGTGATTTGGCAAATTGTAATAGCTTCATTGAATTATCACTTCAATTAGATTTGTGAGATGTTGAAAATAATGTTACAATAATTACCATTTTGCTTTTTAAATAGTTTTATTTTGTGAGATAAATTTTATTCTGATGAATATGAAAGCAAACTTTGCTTAGAAGATGTGCCATCCTTGTAGCATAGGACACTAAGTCAAAGATCAAAGAATCACTAACATGGTGATTGCCCCAGGGTATTCCAAAGCTTAGAAGGATGCTACCTGGTTCTGCCCAGAGAAACTTTAATTTCTCAAAGAGAAGTTAAGAATTTATTGATATCTGTCTTTTTCTTCAAGAAAAAGAAAGATCAAAATGCTAGAGAACATTACACATTAAACCCAAATTCAGGGAAACCGAGCCTGATTCCTTTGAGAAAAAATGGAGGCAATGGGAAGCGTAAAAAGTCTAACCAAAACTGAGAAGCAGTTTGCCTAATACACTTCTCAAATTTAAATGAAAGACTAGTTTTTAGACAATATGCAAGGTTTCAATTTGACAGGCATTTTGTCATTATGTACTTTAGAAACAATTTATGAGAAAATACAAATTCAGTTAATGTGTATACTTAGCATCAAGTAAATTACTCTATGACAAGATATTTTTAAAATTACAATTTTAAAGTAATTTATTATTTTCCTAAAATAAAGG
Organism: Homo sapiens; assembly: GCF_000001405.40. Lineage (NCBI taxonomy): Eukaryota > Metazoa > Chordata > Mammalia > Primates > Hominidae > Homo > Homo sapiens. The sequence goes on along the minus strand of NW_025791754.1, from coordinate 799,086 downwards.
AGCAGCTCTTTGACATTGTAAGACAATCCAAACAATACAAATGTAAATAACATTAGTGATATAATTTCCCTTATTCTCTCAAATACCTCAGATCTACTTCCTTGGTCCTGAGATTAGCACTGTAAAGAGTTTGCTCTGTTTCTTCCCAGATGTAAATATACACACTTAAATATGTATTTATATACACATTGGTTTTTATATATAAGTGGGCTATATATTATGTATCATAGTGTATATATTGTTGTAGGACTTATATTTTCACCCAAAATAAAATAAGCAATTGTAATGTTAACATATACAGGTTGACTTTATAATAACTGAATAGCATTTTATAAGCTGGGGGTAACATAATTTATTTAATTATTCTTTCACTGATGGACTTTTCAATGGTTTTATCTTCCTTATATTCTTTCTTTTACTTTTCTTTTTTCTGTCCTTCCTTCCCTTCATTTCTTCCTTCATAGGTTATAGGTGGGAGTCAAATAATAAAATTTAAAGCTGAAATAGAATAGTAGAATTCTAAACATATTTAAAAGAACCAATATAAACACCAAGAAAGATCTTAACATTGAATAAACTTAGATGATGGAGGAGTTGGAAAGAAGGAGACGAAAGAAAGAAGTTGTAAGCCAATTTTATTTTATTTTTTATGATAACAAATAGACATTGCCCAAAACCTGTGGAAGTAGGATATTATTTTAAAATAATAGCATAAATAAACTACCTAAAAATACCCTTCTTCCTAAATAGCAAAATAAATGTAAAAACTACTGCAACAGCAGCAATAGCAGCAATATAATGAGCAACGAAAGCAGACCATATAGTGAAAAGTTTTAAAAAGCTGTATCTGCACACACTATAGATATTTAAAAAACCTATAAAATTCTTATAAAGAACTTAAATCTTCTATTAGAAGAGAAAAACATTTTCTTATTTGGTTCCAAAGCAAAACCCAGCTCAATGTTGTGTGCAAAAGGCACAACTAAAACTAACTTCTTCAAAATAGTTAAAAAGAAAAGAAGGGGTAGAAAAAAGTACATGGAGTAAAGATCAAAGGACAGAATCAGCAAAGTGAGAAAGCCACCCACAAAAGCGGAGAAAATATTTAAAAATCATATATTTCATAAGTGATTTTTATCCAGAATATATAAAAAACTCTCATAACTCAAAATAAGAAGGCAAATAACAGAATATAAAAATTAGTGAGGGGCCAGGCACGGTGGCTCACGCCTGCAGTCCCAGCACTTTGGGAGGCCAAGGCACTTGGATCACCTGAGGTCAGGAGTTTGAGACCAGCCTGACCAACGTGGCAAAACCTCGTCACTACTAAAAATACAAAAATTAGCTGGGCATGGTGGCACATGCCTGTAATACCAGCTACTTGGGAGGCTGAGGCAGTGGAATGGCTTGAACCTGGGAGGTGGAGGTTGCAGTGACCTGAGATCGTGTCATTGCACTCCAGCTTGGGAAACAAGAGCGAAACTCCATCTCAAAAACAAACAAACAAACAAACAGTGAAGAATATAAATAGGTATTTCTTCAGTCAAGATAAATAAATGGCCAACAAACACATGAAAAGATGCCCAACACTAATCATTAGGGAAATGTATATCAAAACCACAGTAAGACATCAACTTGAGGTCATCATGTTAAATTATATAAGCCAGTTACAATAAGAAAATATTACTATATTATATAGTATTGCATTAAAAGTATTATTTTACTCATATGAGATAGCTAGCATTGACAAATTTATAGGGACAGAAAGTAGAATGGTGGTTGCCAAGAATTGGAAGGAGAGGGAAATGCTAAGTTGTTTAATGGGTTCGGAGCTTTAGTCTTACAAGAGGAAAAGAATTTTGGAGATGGATGCTGGTTACAGTTGTACAACAGCGCGAATGTAGTTAATGCCACTAAACTATACACTTAAAAATGGTTAGGATGGTAAATTTTAATTAAGTGTACTGTACCATAAGTGTACTTTTTAAAAAAAGTACATTATTTAAAAGTACAACCAATTTAAACAACAGAAAATATCAAGGATACTGGGCTTGACAAAGTGAAAATCCTGCCATAAACAATAAATTAATCAAAGAAGGACCTTTTATAAAACCTTAATTGCAAAAGGAGACACAATTCAGTTATAAGTATCCATAATAAATTAATGTAATGGTAAATTTCATAAAGCAGAAACTTTATAAGACAGGAAATAGGAAGAAAATTTAATAAAATTTATTATCTAAAAGATTTCAAGTGAACAAAATATTAGTCAAAGATATAGAAGATTCTAACAATCAATACTTTATACCTTATGGATCTATATCAACACTGTTCCCTAATAATAAAGAATACACTTATTTTTAGGCACACATAAAACAGTCATAAATACTTGCCATATATGTTAGGTCATAAAGAAAATCTAATTAAATTCCAAATAAATTAATATAGGTCACATTCTCTGATCATAGTGCAACACATTTAAAACTTAAGCAAAATAGAAAGGCTATTTTCCCTGGAAATGTACAAACTTTCTATTAAGCAACTCTGGGGTCAAAAAATAAATATAAACTAAAATGACAGAATTTCTAGAAAACAATAAAGAAAACATCACATATCAGAATTTATAGGATATTAACTAAAGCAGTAATCAGAGTAAAATATTAGCTTCAAATATATCAATCAATATAAAAATGAGAATAAATAATTCTAAACAAATAAATCTGTAAACTAGAGAAAGAACAACAAAGAAAGCCAAAGAGAAAAAGGAAGAAATTAATACAACTAAATATAAACCTTAATGAACTAGGAAATACAAAAGTAGTATATAAAAGTCTGAATTTTTAAAAACGATACAATAGAAAGATACAGATGAAACAAATATAAATAACAAGAAATAATACGGAGTAAATAACTTCTCAACTAACTGAAAATTGTCTTCTATACTTATTATTCATTTTTTTTAATCTGAAATGCATATATGTTTGGGAACATGTATTGGGAACACATGTATGTTTCAGCCTTTATTTTACTAGGTGCCTCTGTGGCAGTGAATATTCACTATTCCCTCCTTCTTGGAAAACTGCTTTTTCTTGGCTTCTATCATTCCACTTTCTCCTGGTTATGCTTCTACGTTTCTGATTACTATTCTTGACCTTGTACGTAGTCTTTTTACTCCTACTTCTGCCCATTAAATAAAGTTTGCACTACTTAGGGTTTCATCATCTGCTTTTTGCCCTTCTCAATCCACATCTTTTCCCAAAACTCTTCTCACAGGTTCAGACTCATATGTAACTTCATGAAAGTGAAGTAATAAAAATTGAATTTATGTTACCACTCCCCCGCATCCCCCGCCTCTCTCCCTCTCTGTCTTGGTTTCTTTCTCTCTCTGTCTCTCTCTCTCTCTTCCTCCTCTTGCTATGGATATAATCATTCATCTAATCATGAAGGTTATAAACCTGGCTTTTGTCCTGATTCCTTTATCCACTTGGTTCCTATACCACTTTTATTCAATCACTAAATCCAGCTAATTTTACCTCTGAAATAATTCTTGAATTTACAGTTTCTTTCATTTTTGCTATCATGACTGTGGTTCAGGTTCTCATAGTCTTACTCTTGGACTAATGAAATTAGCCTACTCCAAATTTATCTATCTGCCTCTAGTCTTGCTTCTTCTCTGAATCATATTTCACATGACTTTCAGAATTATCTACTAAATGCAAACTTTCTTCATCTCTATTCTATCTAAAACCCTACAAAATCTCTGCATTCTCTTTAGGACAAGCCTACTTTTTATTCTAGCATGCAGGTCCTCTGTAAATTGTCTCTTTTCTATCACATTGCTCTTATTACAGTGTGCTCTTTATCCTCAACAATATAAGCTTACTTAATATTTCTCTTCATACAAAATGTGCTTTTTCATCTCTGCATATTGGTAGTTTGATTTCTTCTGCCAAGAATGTTATACTCATCCCCAACAACTCTCACTCAGCTACTGAGAGTCAGATCACAGTCATCTCTTTCAGGAAACCATTCCTGACTCTCCTTCCTCCAGATTGGATGATATGCTCATCAACCCTCCTTGAACACATTTACATTGTGTCATTTCTCATTATATATATTATATATGCAGTTGTGTATAACATGCATGCATATATATTATATATGCATATATTAATTACTATTCAATTAATAATGCCTTTTAATTGTGTATTTAATAATGCATATTAATTAATAATGCATATATTAATATATATTTGTACTATGTATATATAAAACACACACATATATATATAGTTGTTTGAACAAAATCTTTTTTTTTGTTTTTAACTTGGGTTTTTCAAAAACGTTATTGTGGTAAGAAAACTTATATGAGATCCACCCTATAAAAAATTTTAAGTGCACAATATAGTATTTTTGACTATAGGTACAATGTTGTACAGCAGATCTCTAGAGCTTATTAATCCAGTTTATCTCAAACTTTATGCCTATTGACTAGTAACTCCTCATTTTCCCCTCTTCCTCCCCCAGTAACCACCATTCTACTTTTTGATTCTGTGATTTTGACTATATTAGTTACCTCATGTAAGTGTAATCATGCAGTATTTGTCTTTCTGTGTCTCACAGTGTATTGAAAAGTTCTGCTTATGACTATCTCCACAAGCACCTTAGTGCCTTGAAAGAGGAAAGCGTGTTTTACATTTTCATCCTCTAATGCTGATGCAGTCCGTTGCATATGCTAGCTACATTGTTTCCTGAGTAAAACTGAAAATCATCACAATCGCTTAAAATTTCTATTTAAAAGTATTTCTATTTAAAACTTTTAATGTAATTATAACACTAATTATATAGTCACTAAACATTTTCTCTATTAACTAGATACCTAACATTTTCCTTTCTCTGTTGCCTCCTTACTCTGCCTTTTGCATTTCTTTTTTTTTGACAAAGTCTTGCTCTGTCACTCAGACTGGAGTGCAGTGGTGCCATCGCAACTCACAGCAGCCTCAATCTCCTGAGCTTAACTAATACTCCCACTTCAGCCTCCCTAGTAGCTGGAACCACACGTGTGTGCCACCACACCTGGTTAATTTTTGTGTTTTTTGTAAAGATGGGGTTTTGCCCTGTTGCCCAAGCTGGTCTTGAATTCCTGAGCTCAAGCAATCTGTCTGCCTTAGCCTCCCAAAGTGCTGGGATTACAAGCATAAGCTACCATGTGGGCCAGTTTTTCTTTTTTATTTACCCATATTTAAGGAAAGAAAACAAGGAATATATACATAATAATTCTTTACAATACTGATATTAAGCATTACTCCCAATAGCCAAGATATAGAAACAACCTAAGTGTCTGTCCATAAATGAAGAAAGAAAATGTGGCCAGTCTGGTGGCCCACACCTGTAATCCCAGCACTTTGGGAGTCCGAGGGAGGAGGGTTGCGTGAAGCCAGGAGTTCGAGGCTAGCTTGGGCAACATCGTGAGACCTCATCTCTACAAAAAATAAAAAAATTAGCTGGGCATGGTGGTGCTCATCTGTAGTCCCAGCTACTCAGGAGGCTGAGGAGGGAGGATTGATTGAGCCTGGGAGTTCAAGGCTGCAGTGAGCTAAGATCATACGACTACACTGCAACAGAGTGAAACCGAGTCTCCAAAAAAAAAAAAATAAATAAAATAAAAGAGAAAGAAAAATGTAACATATACATACAATTAAATATTATTCAGCCTTAAAAAAGAAGGAAATCCCGTTGGTTGCAACATGATGATTTGAAGATTCTAGAGGATATTAATATTATGTTAAGTGAAATAAACAGAAAAAAAGTGAAAAAAAAACAGAAAGAAAAATACTGTATGATGTCACTTATATGTGGAATTTTGAAAACATGAACTCATAGAAACCAAGAGTTGAAGAGTAGTTACCAGGAGTCAGAAGTGGGAGAAAAGGGAAGCTGTTGGTCAAACTGTATAAACTTACAGTTATAAGATGACTAAATTCAGAGACCTTTTGTACAGCATGATGACTACAGTTAATAATAATATATTGCATACCTGATATTTACCAAGAGAGTAGATCCTAAATATTCTCACCACAACCGAAAGGTAAGTATGTGAGGTAACAGGTATATTAGTTAGCTTGATTGTGGTAGTCATTTCACCATGTGCACATAGATCAAAACATCACGTTGTACATCTTGAATATATTTAATTTTATTTGTCAGTTATGTATCAATAAAGCTGAAGAAAAGAGTAGTACTTGATTGCATGTACTGAACAATCAGGCCTGTTAATAATTTAATATTGTTTGTGCTAGTAGTTGTGGTTACCTCAATATATATTGTGCACAGTAAACTTGTAGCACCAGAGTTGTCAGAGTAAACATCAGCACCTCGAGAGGATAAAAAAAATTGATTTCTGTCTGGACACAGTGACTCATGCCTGTAATCCCAACACTTTGGGAGGCCGAGATGGGCGGATCACTTGAGGAGTTTCAGACCAGCCCGGCCAACATGGTAAAACCCTACCTCTAATAAAAATACAAAAAATTAGCCAGGCGCGGTGGTGTGTGCCTATAATTCCAGCTACTCAGGAGACTGAGGCACAAGAATCACTTGAACCCAGGAGGTGGAAGTTGCAGTGAGCAGAGATGGTGTCACTGTACTTTAGCCTGGGTGACAGAGGGAGACTCCTTCTCAAAAAAAAAAAAAAAGAAAAGAAAAGAAAGAAAGAAAAAGAAAAAGAAAAAAGAAAAAAGAAAAAAAAATGTATTTCCTTTTTGGAAAATGAACACTGCCACCTTATGTGAGGGTATATACTAAATCACTCTTTGCTTCAATAAAAATAAGCAAATATTGCTGAGATAAGAGCTTTATTTAACATTTGATCAAAACCTTTTATTAGAAGTGTTTCTGTACTCCAGACTTACTTCTTTATAAATTCTCCCTTTTGTGATTGAATGTATATACTCTTAATTTTCCTAAAAATTCATGATATTTCAAAGAATGAAATCTAAATATTTTCCCACTTTTCCATATATTATTAGAAGTAATTTTGTTCAAAGTGCTGTTGAAATCCACATGTGACCCATGACATGCTGAGATACAACCATCTGCAAACTTTATAAAAAGAAAAGGAGTTCAAAATAATTTGTCAAACATCTATTTAGACAATTTTCCCTCCACTACTTTATACTTCTGTTTAACCTATATTTATTATTAATCTATCATTAGCTTTTGTCTGCATAAAAATGTACATTTGAAAGATGAGCCTTTAAGTTTTATTAATATAATTTTAGTGTTACTATGAGTAGTACTTGTTTTATTACATATTCGGAGCTCTATTTTAGTAAGAAAAATTAACAGATTTCTAAATCACAATTTAAACTTTTAACTACATTCATTTTTAAACATACATTTGCTTATATTTCTGGTTATATTATTTTAGTTATAGAAACAAAAAAAAAAGCCCAAATAGCCAAAGCAATGCTGAGAAAAAAAAAAACAAAACAGAAAACAAACAAACAAAAAACAAAACAAAAGGCATCACATTACCTGACTCCAAACCACACTATAAGGCTACATTAATCAAAACTGCATGTCACTGGTACAAAGACAGACATATACACCAATGGAACAGAAGGATCCCAGAAATGAAGCTGAAGCTGTACACCTACAAACCATTTGATCTTTGAAAAAGTTCACAAAAATAAACAATGGGGGAAAGGATGCCCTATTTAATAAATGGTGCTGAGATACCTGGCTAGCTATGCAGAAGAATGAAACTAGACCCCTAATCTTACCCTATATACAAAAATTAACTCAAGATGGAGTAAAGATTTAAATGTAAGACCTCAAACTATAAAAACCTTAGAAGAAAACCTAGGAAATACTATTTTGGACATCAACCTTGGCAAATAATTTATGACTAAGTCCTCAAAAGCAATTGCAACAATACCAAAAATGGACAAGTGGGGCCTAGTTAAACTGAAAAGCTTCCTTCACAGCAAAACAGCAACAACAGCAAACACATCAACAGGGTAAACAGACAACCTACAGAATGGAAGAAACTATTCACAAGCTATGCATGTGCCAAAGTTTTAACATCAGAATCTGTAAGAAACTTAATTCAACAAACAAAGTAACCCCATTATAAAATGGGCAAAGGACATGAACAGATACTTCTCAAAAGAATATACACAATCAGTCATAAACATGAAAAAACTCCCAACATTACTAATCATCAGAGAAATGCAAATCAAAATCACAATGAGATGCCATCTCACATGAGTAAGAATGCTTATTATTAAAAAGTAAAAAAATAACAGATGCTGGTGAGTCTGTGGAGAAAAGGGAACACTTATATCCTGTTGGTGGGAGTGTAAATTACTTTAGCCACTGTGGAAAGCAGTTTGGCAATTTCTCAAAGAACTTAAAATAGGACTACCATTCGACCCAGCAATCTCATTACTGGATATATACTTGAAGAGCTATAAATCATCCTACCATAAAGACAAATGCATGCATATGTTCATCAAAGCATTATTCACAATAGCAAAGATATGGAATCAATGTAGGTGCCCATCCATGGTGGATTGGATAAAGAAAATGTGGTACATACACACCATGGAATATTATGCAGCCACAAAAAGAAAAAAAACTGTGTCCTTTGCAGCAACATGGATGCAGCTAGAGGCCATTATCCTAAGTGAATTAACACAGGAACAGAAAACCAAATACTATATATTCTTACTTATAAGTGGGAGCTAAATATCGAGTACTTACGGACACACAGAGAGCAACAATAAATACTGCAGATTACTAGGGAGGGGAGAAAGGGAAGAGGGAAAGGGCTGAAAAACTACCTATTGGGTTCTATGTTCACTACCTGGGTGACGGAATCATTCATATGGCAAACTTCAGCATCACACAATACGCCCATGTAACAAATCTGCACATGTACCCCCTAAACCTAAAATAAAAGTTGAAATTAAAAAAAAAGAAATCATGAAAGTCCCTACTCTGTCAGATTCTTAGTTTTCAATGTACACAAACACACCAAATGAAAGTAGAGTCTGGGGTATTAAGATACAGTAATGGGCGTGCTCAGTTAATATCCCCAGGACAGTTACGTGACATGTTCAGTACTTTTGCCAAGGGGGTAGAGCCTTAATCACAACAAAGTGGTGGGGTACTAAGCAGACAAAAACAAGATAGAGTAGGATTGTTTAGCAGTGCTGAGTCATGAATTTTTAGAGATACTAATCTTTTTTTTTTTTTTGCCTTTCTTTACAACACTTGGCTGCTTATGTACATAAATGGAGAAGATGGATGTGTAAGTTTATTCAGCCATGAGTATTTGCTAGACTGTGCAATCAAAAGGAAAGTGGGGCAAGAGATTTAAGATTGCTTGCAAAAGAATTATTTGGAATGTGAGCTATTTAATTTGAAGAGAGACATGAAGAAAGAGTAAATACTGGAGACTACTAAAGGATGTGAGAAAGTAGTAGGGGCATTAAGTTAAAAGTATCAATGTGTTAAAACAGTATTTCCATGGAAGTGTGAGTAAGCTAGTCAGAAGAAATAAATATGGTAATTAATGAGCAGAATATATGAATTTGTGACTTTGGAAATTGAGGAGTTTCAGATGATGGGAAAGACTGTACTTTGGCAATAGGAACATAAAGTCGAGAAAAGTGGCAACAGAGATGAGGCAATAAAGGATTGAGAAGCAAATTTGTTGAGTGGTACAACAAAGCAGATATTAATGCTAACAGAGATGAAAGGATTTGGAGTGAGGAAGAAAACTGAGCCAGGAGGTACTAGTAATTAGTGATTGAGGGGGAAAGTTCAGAACATTTACCGATGACACCAGTATTAGCCTTTTTTCACACTGCTATAAAGAGCTACTGGAGACTGAGTAATTTATAAAGGAAAAAGATTTAATTGATTCACAATTCTGCATGGGTGGGGAGGCCTCAGAACTTACAATCATGGCAGAAGGTAAAGGGGAAGCAAGGGCCTTTTCATATAGCAGCAGGGGAGAGACAGAGAGAGAGAGAGAGAGACAGCAAGGAAGTACCACACTATAAAACCATTAGCTCTCATGAGAACTCACTCACTATCATGAGAACAGCATGTGGGAAACCACCCCCATGGTCCAATCACCTCTCACCAGGTCCCTCTCTTGACATGTAGGGATTACAATTTCAGATGAGATTTGGGTGGGGACACAGAATCAAACGATATCATTCCACCCCTGGTCTCTTCCAAATCTCATGTCCTTTTCACATTTCAGAACCAATCATGCCTTCCCAACAGTCGCCCAAAGTCTTAACACATTCCAGCATTAACTCAAAAGTCCAATTCCAAAGTCTCATCTGACAAAGCAAGTCCCTTCTGACCATGAGCTGTTAAAATCAAACAAGTTAGTTACTTCCAAGATACAATGGGGGTACAGGCACTGGGTAAATGTTCTCATTCCAAATGGAAGAACTTGGCCAAACCAAAGGGGCTGCAGGCCCCATGCAAATCTGAAAACTGGCAGGGCACTTATTAAATCTTAAAGCACCAAAATAAACTCCTTTGATTCCGTGTCTCACATCCAAAACACAATGATGCAAGAGGTGGGCTCCCAAGGCCTTGGGCTGCTCTGCCCCTGTGGCTTTGCAGGGTACAGCCCCCGCAGCTTATTTCACAGGCTGGTGTTGAGTGCCTGCGACTTTTCTGGTGCACAATGCAAGCTGTTGGTGGATATACCATTCTGGGATCTAGAGGGTGGTAACCGTATTCTCACAGCTCCACTAGGCAGTCTCCCAGTGGGGACTCTGTGTGGAAGCTCCAACCCCATGTTTCCCTTCTGCATTGCCCTAGTAGAGATTCTCCATGAGGGCTCTGCTCCTGCAGCAGACTTCTGGCTGGTCATCAAGGCATTTCCATACATCCTCTGAAATTTAGGCAGAGGCTCTCAAAGCTCAACTCTTATCTTCTGCACACCTGCAGCCCCAACACTTGGAAGCCACCAAGGCTTGGGGCTTGCATCCTCTGAAGAAACAGCCCAAGATGTACCTCGATCCGTTTTAGCCACTGCTGGAGCTGGAGTGACTGGGACACAAGGGGCCATGTCCCAAGGCTGCACAGAGTAGCAGGGCCCTGGGCCCAGCCCACAAAACCATTTTTCCCTCCTGGGCTTCCAGGCTTGTGATGGGAGGGGCTGCCGTGAAGATCTCCGAAATGCTCAGGAGACATTTTCTCCCTTGTCTTGATTATTAACATTTGGCTGTTTGTTATGCAAATTTCTGCAGCAGGCTTGAATTTCTCCCCAGAAAATGGATTTTTCTTTCCTATTGCATGGTCAGGCTGCAAATTTTCCAAATTTTATGGTCTGCTTCCCTTTTAAACATAAGTCCCAATTTCAAATAATCTCTTTGTGAACACATACGACTGTGTGCTTTCAGAAAAAGCCAGGTTATATCTTGAATACTTTGCTGCTTAGAAATTTCTTCCACCAGATACCCTAAGTCATCTCTCTCAAGTTTGAAGTTCCACAGATCTCTAGGGCAGGGGCAAAATGCTGCCAGTTTCTTTGCTAAAGCATAGCAAGAGTGACCTTTTTTCCAATTCCCAGTAAGTTCCTCATCTACATCTGAGACCACCTTCATTGTCCATATCACTATCAGCATTTTGGTCAAAACCATTCAACCAGTCCCCAGGAAGTTCCAAATTTTCCACACCTTTCTTTCTTCTTCTGAGCCCTCCCAACTATTCCAGCCTCTGCCCTTTACCCAGTTCCAGTCTTTTCCACATTTTTAGGTATCTCTATCGCAGTGCCCCACTCCCAGCACCAATTTTCTGTATTAGTTTGTTTTTACACAGCTATAAAGAACTACTGGAGACTGGGTAATTTATAAAGGAGAGAAGTTTAATTGACTCACAGTTCTGCATGGCTAAGGAGGCCTCAGGAAATGTACAATCATCGCAGAAGGTGAAGAGGAAGCAAGGACTTTTTTCACATGGTGGCAGGAGGGAGAGAGAGAGAGAGGGAGAGAGAGAGAGGAAATGCAACACTTTAAAACCATCAGCTCTCAAGAGAACTCACTCAGTATCACAAGAACAGCATGGGTTAAACTGCCCCCATGATGCAATCAACTCCCACCAGGTCCCTCCTTTGACATGCGGGGTTTACAATTCAAGATGAGATTTGGATGGGGACACGGAGGCAAACCATAACAGCAGCAAACATTCTGGCAAGTGGTAACGTTGAAAAGAATGAGTTTTCAAGAAGGGGATTTTAAAGGAAGGAAAGAAACAGAATAATAATTTGAGAGAAAATACGAAGATCAGTAAGGACATTGATTCCATGTCCCAAGAAGAGTGGGTGCATGTTAACAGACAATCTCAGTTTGAGAGGAATATAGAGAAAGCAGTGTCCACAAAGGAGAGAGCAAAGTTTGCCTTATGTGAAGGAGCTTGTAATTTCTTGAGAAGAGGATGAAGACATAAGAAAGTTTGTTGCTCAATGACCATGGGTTCCAGAGATTTTGAGACAGAAGGAAGAATCTCATAGAGAAATAAGATTAAGCATTATTGCTGGGCGCAGTAGCTCATGCCTGTAATCCCAGCACTTTGGGAGGCTGAGGTGGGCAGGTCACTTGATCCCAGGAGTTTGAGACCAGCCTGGGCAACACAGTGAGACCCCATCTCTACAAAAAGTGCAAAAATTAGCTGGGTATGGTGGCTTGTGGCTGTAGTCCTAGCTACTTGGGAGGAGGAGGTGAGAGGATCACCTGAACGTGGGAGGTTGAGGCTGAAGTGAGCCATGATCACACCACTGCTCTCCAGTCTGGGTAACAGATTGAGACCTTGCCACAAAGTAATAATAATAGTAATAGTAAATAAAATAAAGCATTATTGGATGAGAGCTTGGAAATGTATGATCTAGTAGATCTTGGACTTCCTTTAGTGACTGAAATCACCAGGGAAATGTTACACAAATGATGTTGGTCCAATAATGTCAAGTGTTAGAGTGGAATCTTGGGTCTGGCAATGTAGCCCTCTAGGCTCAGGGGTGGTGGCAGGAGTATAGGTGACTGAATGCAATGTTCTGCTATCTATTGGATAATAGTTGTAGCAGGAGCTCCAAACAACTCTTCTGCCAGGCTTCAGATTTAAGGCAAAGAAATAGTAGACTACGTAGGAGTATAGTAGATCTCTACTTATCAGAAACCCCATGGCTTGAAGGGGGAAGGGTGAGGGCTGACTTGATGAGGCGATTGGCTAGATTGGGTGTTGGATTCCACTAGTTTGGCAAGGGTGGCGTGAGAATCAGATAGCAAAGTTTGTTCATAAAGAAGAAAAATGTTATACATTGTGTTAAAAGAATTTTCACTTAGGTAATTAGTAATTAAATCATTTTTCAGACTTGATTCAGTCATCATGTATGACTTTTTCGTATTATATGTCTAGTAGATAATGGATCTACGAATATTGTTTCAAGGCCTCATGTAGGATGTCTACAATATAAACCTAGTGTGCTTTCTTTGATGTATTTGCAATTCAGCTGAAATGATAAATCTAGACATAAATCAATAAATGTTAATTCCCATAAGATCCAATTAGGAATAAATGTGACCAGAATCCAACCATTTTTGACTTTCTAATGACAAAAGTACATTAGTAAATGCTGAATGCCCAATTTTATAATTATGCCATTAGTGCTAGAACTGCTAATTTAACAGTTATAACCTGAAAGTCCTTTTGGTACTCAAGTACTCTGTGGTCATATTCTTCTTATTTTCTGAAGAAATAAGTCTGCTAGATAACATAACACCTAAAATTTACATTTAGAATGATGACACACTCTATTATTCTTAAATTGCTTTAAAGTCCAGTTCAATTCTAGCTTAGCTAGGACATAGAGAAGATAGTAAATCAAATAAATAATATTCTTATGATAATTTTCAAAGCTTTCCAGTTCTAGTTCGAAATTAGTAGAGGCACTGCTTTGAAGAAATCAGCATGGCAGAAACTCTTTTTTTTGAGAACAAAGAATAATTATTTGGCCTGAACTCATAATTCCTAACTTTTACACTGTAGTTTTAGAAAGACCTGATTGCAAAGCAATGACATACAATTGCATATCATGCCTCCCCTTGGATGACACTGCAGGAAGAAAGTCAGTAGGCCCTGTCTTCCCTCTTCCTTGCTTTTTTCCTTTCAACCACCTCCCCACCAGCTTCAGCAAGTACATCTTAATTTATTTTACGTATTGCCTTCATCTTTGTTTATAGTAAAGGTTCAAATGTTAAAAGAGGTTAAGTCACTGCCAATAAAATAATTGAGAGAAAAAATATGTATTTTACTAATTAATAAAATTCAATAATATTTCCCCACATAAAATACTTTATAACTTATCATATGTCATCTTGTTCTTTCTAGTCTAAAATATCTTGTCTCCTCTTTTGTATTATATATGTAAAAATCTAAAAAAATTAAATCAAGGGATATTTAAGGTAGATTATTATCTCTGTCTAATACCAACTTAAGTTTTGTATTTTATCTCATTTTATTTCTATGTCTTTTAAAAAGAAATATTTCTTAGGGAATAAAGAATGACAACAACTGGGCCAGGCACTGTGGCTCACACCTGTAGTCCTAGCATTTTGGGAGGCAGACATGGGCAGATCACCTGAGGTCAGGAGTTCAAGACTAGCCTGGCCAACATGGTGAAACCCCCTTCTCTACTAAAAATACAAAAACTTAGCCAGGTGTGGTGGTGCATGCCTGTGGTTCCAGCTGCTCAGGAGGCTGAGACAGAAGAATTGCTTGAACGTGGGAGGTGGAGGTTGCAGTGAGCCAAGATCGTGCCATTGCACTCAAGCCTGGGCGACAGAGTGAGACTCTTGTCTTGCAGAAAAAAAAAAAAAAAAAAAAAAGAATGACAAAAATCAAGTGCCTTTTATAAAACACCAACAAAAATCCAAACTGATGGATATGAACAATATCCTGAAATTACAGGTTACCATTTGCTCTGCAAAGAAGCATACTTGCAACAGTTTTATTTGATAAATTTTTTTGATACATAATTTTTGCTCTAAGACTTTTAAACTATACATTAGTCTCGAAAGCAAAAGAAAATATTAATAAATGGGTATAAAACAAAAACCAAGGCTAAAGCAATCATTTGATTTTTCTCAGATCATCATTACCAAATAAATAATCACCACGTCTTCTGCTTGGTATGCAACTAAACAGATATTTTTTTCTGATTGCGAGGGGAGATAACATCAATTCCTGGGATTTAATCAGGTTTGGATTTAGTTATACTGTCAGTGTAACATATGTCAACAGGAATTATTCAGTCTGCATGTGGGAATTTAGGAGGAGCCTTGAGAGAGAATAACATGATCAAAGTGAAAAAGCATAGAGAACTGGCAGAACAATATTAATTATTTTATGGCATATTTTTGGAGACTAATGGAAGGTAGAGTTGGATAAGTAATTTGAAGTCAAACAAGAAGGGCCTTGTATGTCATAAATGGAGTTTGCAATTATTCGTAAGTAACTGACGTTACTAAACCTTATTTTTCTTAATTCTCATCATTCTAAGGGTAAGCTGTCCTTTGATTAAAAAGTAGCTACCGATGCTCTTTGTCAAGTATGTATTCATTATTCTTAACATTTACAGGGAATTATTCAATGCATTTTTCATTTAATAATGTATTTAATGGCATTCTAGCTATCTATTACTGCATAACAAACCGCTGCAAACTTATAAGATTGGCTTAAAACAAAAAGCAAATTTACTCACAAACCTGAAATTTGGGCAGGGATTGACAGGATGGTGCTTCTCTAATCCACAAGCTTTCAGTTGAGGTGACGTGACTAGGACCGGAATATCTATTTTTAAGATGGCTGACTCACATGGCTAGCAAGATGGTGCTGGCTGTTGGCTGGAAGATCAGCTGAGGCTGTACAGTAGGAGCTGCAGTTCCACTGCACATGAGCCTCTCAACAGGGCTGTTTGGACTTTCTCTGATAGGAAGTATTCCAAGAGACAGGAAGTGGAAGCGGCCACAGTCTTTAAGATTTGGGTCCAGAAACTGACATGGCATAGTTTGGATCATACAAGCTTGGATCATACCAGCTAGGGATTCAAGTATCTTCTGTCTTATTGCTTTACTATTCTTCAGCGGGCTGCTTTATCAACATGATCCGAGATGGCTCACCGCCAGTACATCTGTGTTCTACCCCTTCGGAAAAAGGAAAGAGGAAGTGACAAGCAACGAGATTCCTTTTAATGCTGTGACAAACAAGGGAACAAATTATTTCCACTCATATGGCATTGGCCAGAACTCAAACCAGTGTGGACCTAGAAAAAAGGAGGAAACTGCAGTGTTCCACTATTGTGTCATATACCTAGGCAGAGAAACTTGGAGGGTTTTATTTATAAAAGGAAGAAATAGAGAGCAAATATTGGGGAATTATTTTTAGCAGCTTCTGAAATAGTAGTTAATCCCAACTTGATTGAGATTTAGTTTCTCTCTCAAAAGAATAAGGATTTAGGATGTAAATAAAATTCTATAAGAGAAACTGCATTACTTATACATTGAAATTGAGGGATGAGATTCATTATTGACTAATTTTTGACAATACATCTTGAGGAAATACTGTGATTCTGTGAAAAAAAATTATTGTGCAGAAATGACACAGCCCCTAGTAAATTACTGTGATTTTGTTGATAACAGTGGACTAGGTAATGGCGCGGAGTTTGAAGGAATACCTCGGAAAAACCTTTGTTGGTAGAGAGAAGACAATCACTAGGAGGAAAGAAGAGAGAAAATAAATCCATGTTAGAAATTTTAAATTAAACTAAAATATCTGAGTTCCAAAAGAATACCTAAACTATGAGGATGTTGAAAGGCTACATTTTAAAAGTTTCTGTCTTTGACCAAAGGAAGGAAGGAAGCTCTTCCTGGAAAAGGAAAGGCAATCCCAATGGCATCGGTTTAGGCCACAAAGGCAGAGGGAGCCATAATCCTGCTAAACTGGCATTCCACTCCATCTTCTGTAAATACCATGGCTTAAGATTCATGCAGAAGATCTCTATTTTGGAAAAATAGATGTTAATCTTCTTAGTCTTTATACTGCTACTTTCAAATCAGCAATTGCTATGAGAGAAAAAGTGCCCCCTAAATGCTGAGGTAATTTCTCTATTATGTCTTGGCCCTGTAATGCTTAAATGTCTCAGTAGTGCACTGCTGACTTCCAACAAATTTTACAAATATTTTTCAAATATTTGTAGTGCGGCCAACAAGAGGGTTAAGCCAAAATAATGCAGTGCACCACTGATGGAGGAACTCCTATTCTTATGATTTTAAATAATGCATTTTTGAAAATGTGGAATATGATACGATGAATTGTCAGAATGTCAGCAACTTAGTTTGATTTGGTTCAATGAAAGTATAGACAGATTTCTATTACTGGATAGATAACTGAAGCCATTGAAAAAGCAAATAGGGTAAAACATTAATGATTGATGAATTTAGATGATTCAACAATTGTTAAGTGGGGATGTTTGTTCAAATATTCTATATGAATACTTATCATAACAGAATGTTGGTGGGAAAATGTATAATAGACAGAAAAGTAGGCTTTACCATGTTGCTGTTCTTTAGAACTCAATGTGGGTTAATACATAAATATATCACAGGAACTGGACATTTGCTCTGTTCACTTGCAACAGCACACAGTTTATTTTTTTATAGACAGAAGAAAAAACATGACTGTACAACTCAGTCCTTCCTCAACCTTATTCAGGCTCAATCTTTGCATCAGAAATTTGTGGTGTGATACCATAGGAAATCTGCAACATTGTCTATTAGACCTTTATGACAAAAAATATTTGTAAGTCCAATTCAATATAATAATCAGACATCTGAGTTTGGTTCAAGGTAAAGTTTCTCTTTCCCTCCAACACTGATCTCCTGAAATGGAAGATGTAGTGGGAATAGGGGATATGGTGGACTCTTCTTTTATCCCTGGAAGTTTTTCCCACTCACTGTCCCCTCCAACTTATTATGGCCTTCAACTCCTTCGGGGCCATAGTAGAAGAAGAAAAGTTAGGGTGATACATTTGTGGATAGTTATTAAAACAACTCAGCCCTTTGGAACCTGGTGCTTTCACTGCATTCCAATGCCTTGCTGACTCTTCTTTTTCTAATTAGAATATGCTGCCTTTTGGACAATGTACTTTTAAGTTGGCTTCAAGACAATTTATCTCTCCTTTGTCTCTGACTATTTTCTCTGCCTGTTTCTCTTTATGTTTTTCTTTAATTTCTCTCAGTCATAAGCCAGACAGGTCTGGTGAAATAAATATCAAGGCTTCCATGTAATCTCTTTTTTTTTTCTTAGAAAGAAACATTTAATACAGATTTAATGAACAGAGCCATGTCTGTGTCAGAAGTGGCAGAGAGACAAGATGGTGGATCTCTGAGCCATTATCCCTCAGTCTCAGGGCTTACATACCCCACAGGAGGGGTGGTTCAGAAGGGATGTGTAGGACAATTGAAGTACAATAACTTCAAGGTTGTTTTACCTAAGGACAGGATTGATGGTAAGTACCTGCTCTTACACAAGGAGCAACAGAAGTTGCTTCTGAAGTTAATCAGAAGCCAACAAGGCAGTTTAGCTTCTAAGACGGAGTTACTTTGGCCTCCACATTCCACTCATCTAGTCCAGCTCTTACAATCTCAAGCGCCCTCCTCTTCTAAGATGATCCCTGAAACTTTAGGGAAGGTGCTTGATACTATATAGCTTTAGCAGCAGTGTATTGGCAGTGAAAAACGAGTCGGGGCCCAGTAAGATTTCAAATGGGTGAGATTCACAGGCTCTGTTGAATCATCTCTAGGATACCATGACTTCCATTTTCTTGAAAGAAGTAAAACAATGAGAGATACATAACAATAATAATTTGAATGGTAGAAATACTATGCACAGAGGATTACAATAAAGAGAGAATTTGTATGCCAGAATAACAACAAAAAAGAACCCATTCCATAAAGGAGTCAACTTAAAGCATCACAAGGAAAATTAAAACCTGGTTCTTCTTGAGACTTGTTGCAGCCAGGAAATAATTCAGGATTTAGCCCAGATTGTAGACAGATAATAAAAATTCAGAAACAGTTGCCAGGGCTAGAATCTAAATTTTTCTCTCTCCAGTTTTCCCATTTCTACCAATAATAAATGAAAGCAGGCCAATTTATTTGCAAAATAAATTTTGGTCTCATTATATTTGCCCTGGTCATTTGCATGAAGTACAGCAAGAATAGCGATCAGCCATTTAGAAGTCTTTTAAGTTGGTTTGGCTGGAACTTTTGTAAGGAGTTTTAGATTTGACTTCTTTTGTGTGTGTGTGAGATGGAGTCTCGCTCTGTTGCCCAGGCTGGAGTGCAGTGGCACAATCTCAGCTCACTGCATGCTCTGCCTCCTGGGTTCATACCATTCTCCTGCCTCAGCCTCCCGAGTAGCTGGGACTACAGGTGCCCGCCACCATGCCCAGCTAATTTTTTTGTATATTTAGTAGAGACAGGGTTTCACTGTGTTAGCCAGGTTGGTCTCGATCTCCTGACCTTGTCATCTGCTCGCCTCGGCCTCCCAAAGTGCTGGGATTACAGGCATGAGCCACCGCGCCTGGCCTAGATTTGACTTTTTAAAAGCCTCAAGGCCAGAAGCTAAGCCAAGGACTCACCATTAGACTGTGCTTCTTATACATGTACAAATTCCATGCCTCTTGGGGTCCCCAAATATCCTGAGGCTCCTGGGCCTTTTTGAAAGTGACATTGTTTTTACTTACTACAAGTCAGAAACCTTGCATGGGAATCACTTAGACAAGGTACTAGGCCAGCCTTTCCAAGGGGCTTTTTATTGGCTCTATAAAGTTGGCCTCAATTCCTCAGTCTGGTCATATCTGAAAATATGCCATTTAAGTCAAAGTCTTGATAAAATAACTAGTGTCTCCAGTTATATCCTGTTACAAAATAAAACAGATTCTTACTGAACTTATGGAAATAATTATATTTCTCTAAAAGAAGAATACTTATGAATAGTTTCCAAGTTTTGGAGATCTTGGATAGAGAGAAGGTAAATTTTGCTCGCAAAAAATACTGTACTCAAGCTTGGTAAGCTATAAATAGCTCAAAAGAGAAAGGTTTTCTTGACGCTTTTTCAAACAGAGTAGCAGCTTCTAAACAGGATGTCGTTTGTTCACCTTTAAATTGTCATCCATAAGTCAAGTGGGAATTGAATCACAGGGGAAAAAGTCAGTCCTAGAGGAAAAAATAGCTCCCTGATTCTTAGAATCTCCTCCTTGTGCTCCCCAAGTAGCAAGATCCTATAAGAATCATTTCCATTTTATCATGGAAGTCTTCTGTGCACTGCTGTTTTCACTTGCAGAGGGGTATTTTCCCATAGCAATGCCGTAAATGCCCCTAAAGTGGAAATTCTCTCCTCCAAAGCGCTAGTAGTCGCTGTTGGGAGGCACTCACAGGCTTTTGCCATCAGTCCTAGTGAACATTCCACAAAGGGCTATCAAGTGGAGGATTCATCCCTACCAGCACTCTCAGCTTTCACCCTAAACTCTAGCCTTGGACAATCTTACTAGCTCCCACTTAGCATGTTCAGTTAATATTGCTCATAGGGTGGATTTATATGTCCTGTTTTACAGTACTAGGTAGGGGAAACATTCCTCAGTCAGGCATAATATCCATTTCCACGAAACATTTAGTTAAAGGATACACAACTACTTTACATAAAACCTGCTTAAACATTTCAACTTTCATTTTATAGTCCTATCAACCTTTGCATTTTATGTTTTGGTTCCAGGAATTCATTTTTTTCACCTGCATACCATTTTACTCTCTTGTAAAAAAAGGATTTAGATTTCCAGTAGGGGGGTGAGCCAAGTAGGGGTACTTTGTCAATCTTTTCTTGATTAATCCACCCAAGTAATCTCTTTGAAGCCCTTCTTATTAGACTGGAGGGAATGGGGAATGAAGCTCTACCCATCTTCCCCAAGAAAAGTGGTTGTGGTACTCACAATGCCTGACAAATATCTGCAAGAAAATATTTTCTGTAACTTCTAATTTTAGTCCTTTTGCTTGTTTGGCTTCCTTTATCCTTTATACAGGGAAGTAGTAAGGTAAAGGTAGCAAACATTATCAACAAGCCCTATATTGTTGTTCAAACACCTTGATTTGGAATGTGTCACAGAATAGCTTGAAAAACTTAGAAAAATTCTCAGGAACTGAGAGGGAATGTTCAAGTTTAAAATACTGTTACAGGAACAGTGTGGTGCACTTGCCTGTAATCCCAACACTTTGGGAGACTGAGGTGGGAGGATGGCTTGAGGCCAGGACTTTGAGACCACCCTGGGTAACATAGTAAGGCCTCATCACTACAAAAATAAAAAATAAAATAAAGTAAAATAAAATAAAATAAAATAAGGTTAAGATTGTACTTGGAATAAAACACTTTTATGCTTTTTTTAAGTTTTTGGTAATATTTGTATTCAAGATTTCCCCCTCAGAATTGAAAACTGTTACCTGCCTTCTTCCTAGACATGAAGCCAGCTGTTTCAGATAGATAGAAAGTGTAAGTAACAAATTCTTATTTTTTTATTCAACCCCAGATAATTTTTTCTACATTCTGCTACTAAGCCTAAATTTTAAAATCATTTTTAGTTTTTAAATTTCCAATGTATCCTCATGAATTTTAAACATTGACTACTATTTTTTGTAATGTCTTTGAGATATAATTTACATAACATACAATTCACCCACTTAATGGGTATAATTTAATGTTTTTTTTAGTGTAATCACAGAGTATTACAACAATTACCACAATCAACTTTAGAATATCGCCTCAAAAAAGAAACTCTGTACACTTTGGCTATCAGCTTCTAACCTCTCTTCCTCAGCTCCAACCCTAACCAACCACAGGTCTACCTTCTATCTCTATAGGTTTGCCTAGTCTGGACATGCCATAAAAATGGAATCATAATATGTGGTCATTTGTGACTGGCTTCCTACACTTAGCAGAATATTTTCAAGGTTCATCCATGTTATAGCATCTATTATTACTTCATTCCCTTTTCATGCCCAAATAATATTCCATTGTTTAGATATACCACATTTTGTTTACCCATTCATCAATTGATGAGCATTTAGATTGTTTCCTCCTTTTGGCTAACACAAATAATGCTGCCATAAACATATGTGTACAAGTGTTTTCGTGGACACATTTTTAAAAATTTATCTTGGGTATGTATCTAGGAGTAGACTGCTGAGTTAATGGCAATCCTATTGTTTAACTTTTTTAAAAACTGCAGGTTGTTTTCCAAATTGACCAAACCATTTAATATCCCCACCAGAAGTGTATG
This sequence comes from Homo sapiens, assembly GCF_000001405.40. Lineage (NCBI taxonomy): Eukaryota > Metazoa > Chordata > Mammalia > Primates > Hominidae > Homo > Homo sapiens. The sequence goes on along the minus strand of NW_025791754.1, from coordinate 776,669 downwards.
TTGCTTCCAACTTCCTTGACATCATTTGTTATTATCTGACTTCTTGATGACACCCATCTTTGAGGGTGTGAAGTGTTATCTCACTGTGGTTTTGATTCATATTTACTTAATAATTAATGATGTTATACATCTTTTCATGTGCCTAATGGCAATTTATATATCTTCTTTAGAGAAATATCTATTTGAATCCTTTGCTTATTTTGAAATTGTCTTATTTCTCTTTTTTTCTGTGTTGTAAAAGTTCCTTACATATATTCTAGATACAAGTCCTTTATGACATATGCAATTTTGCAAATATTTTTTCCCATTGTGTGAGTTCTATTTTCCTTTTTTAATAGTATCCTTTGAAGCATGACATTTTAAATTTTGAGAAAATCCAATTTCTGTACTTTGTATTTTCTTATTTGTGGTTTTGGTGTGATATCTAAGAATCCATTGTCAAATCTGTGGTGATGAATATTTTAAGTCTTAATTTTTACCTGTATTAGTAGTCATATTTTTAATAGATACTTTAAAAAAACCTTTTTTGTTTTTTGAGACAGAGTCTCACTGTGTTGCCCAGGCTGGAGTGCAGTGGCACCATCTTGGCTCACTGCAACCTCCGTCCCAGGCTACTTAAAAAAACCTTCTGACCAAAAATATTTTAACTAAGAAATGCTGTGTGAAATACAGGAATATCTAAAGTATATTTCTAATACTTCCTGTGTAGTATTTTCCCAAACTATGGTACATAAAAAAATAATAAAGTTGTTGCATGAAATCAGCATCATGACCAACATGGTCTTTATACCCATCTTCTATTGCCTTGTTCGTTAGTGACAGTTTTGATCACTCTCTTCTGAATATGAAAGTAATATATGTTCAAAATGAAAAATATGAAATTTGGGACAACGTGAAGAATTTGAAAATATTCCTCCCTCCCTCCCTTCCTCCTTCCCTCCCATCCTTCTTTCCCTGCTTCCTTCCTTCCCTCCTTCCTTCCTTCCTCTCTCTTTCTTTTTCTTCTTCTCTCTCTCTCTTTCCCTTCCTTTCTTTGTTTCTCTGGGACAGAGTCTTGCTCTGTCACCCAGGATAGAGTGCAGTGGCATGATCTCGGCACGCTGCAACCTTTGCTTCCCAGGTTCAAGTGGTTCTCATGCCTCAGCCTCCCAAGTAGGTGGAATCGCGGGTGTGCACTACCCTGTCTGGCTATTTTTTTGTATTATATTAGAGACAAGGTTTTGCCATGTTGGACAGGCTGGTCTTGAACTCCTGGCCTCAAGCAATCCACCTGCCTTGGCCTTCTAAAGTTCTAGGATTACAGGTTTGAGCCACTGTGCCCAGACTATTTTAATTTTTTAAACCTAAACCACATAGAATTATTAAAGCCATCATTTTTTTTCTCTCACTCTTTCTTCTATAACCATTTATACACATCCAGATAATTCTATATATGCAATTTTGTAACCTAATAATTTTCACCTTTTTGTATATGTACATCACCTCTTGACTAGATTAGAAACTCCACAGAAAGACTGGTTAAAACTTCAAAGTCTATTCTTTTGGCTGGGCGCGGTGGCTCACGCCTGTAATCCCAGCACTTTGGGAGGCCGAGGTGGGCGGATCACAAGGTCAGGAGATCGAGACCATCCTGGCTAACATGATGAAACCCCGTCTCTACTAAAAATACAAAAAAATTAGCCGGGCATGGTAGCGGGTGCCTGTAGTCCCAGCTACTCGGGAGGCCGAGGCAGGAGAATGGCGTGAACTTGGGAGGCGGAGCTTGCAGTGAGCCGAGATCGCGCCACTGCACTCCAGCCTGGGCGAGAGGGAGACTCCGTCTCAAAAAAAAAAAAACAAAAAAAACCCATTTCAAAGTCTATTCTTTTACAGCAGATAGTGCATTTAATACTTTAAGGGGTATTTAGTATTGGATAGGTAGCTAGACTTACATTAGAGGATTTATAAATATTTATTAATACTTGCTACAACCACAAAAGTTGACAGCTTTCGCAGGTTTTTAAGTGATAATAACATGAAGATAGAGACTAAAATAACATCTACATTTCCTTTTAAATAACGTTAATTCAGAAAGTTTCAAAGTTATCCTATAATTTGAGACAAACAGGAGGGATTAGATGAATTAAGTACTGAAGCGAGAACATTTACTGTTTCTGTGGACATTTATGAATAAAATTCCCCATGTTGTGATTTGCCCAGGAACAATTTGAGTTTCTCCTGTGGTTTGAATGTGTCCCCGAAAGTTTACGTGGAAACTTAACTGCCAATGCAACAGTGTTGTCAGGTGAGATCTTTAGAAGGTGATTAAGTCACGAGAGCTCTATCTTCTTGAATGGATTAATGTCATTATCATGGGATTGGATTGTTATCTCAGGAGTGGTGTCTTTATAAAGGATGAGTTTGCGCTCCTCCCCGCCCCCGCCACTCTGTCTCTCTCTCTCTTTTTCTCTCACTCCCATGTACATGCTCTTTTGCCACGTGATCCCTTCCACCATGTTGTGATGCCTTCCAGCATATTATGATGCTTCGAGAAGACCCTCACCAGAGGCAGCCCCACCATCTTGGACTTCTCAGCTTTTAGATTTATGAAACAAATAAACTATTGGTTAGAAGTTATCCAGTCTGTGATACTCTGTTATAACAATGTAATATGGACTAAGACACCCTCCTATTAAGTGAAACATTGTTCTCTCAGCTTACAAATTTCTAAAGCTCTAAAAATCCAGAGTTCTAAATAAAACTGAGTTAAACAACACCTGAAAGAATAAAAGAAGTAACTACAGAATTGGCTACATAATGGCTACTTTTAGCATAGATGGATGTTTGAAGAATATATTCAGGAAAATTATGCTTGCTTCATTCACATATAGGATATTCAAATTTCCCTTCCTGACAGATTGCTCGAAATGGTGGTGATGATATCATCGCTTTATGTGGGAATTTACACTGGAATTCAACAGCATCCCCTGTTTTTGCATAGAGTTTTCCATCGTTTCTCCATTTTAACTGTATGTTATTTTTGTTCATGTTTTCTTCAGATACCACACATGGATCTGAAAGAAGAAATGGTAAAATAAAATAAATAAATAATAATACATCTTTACCTTTCATAGAATAGTGAAATTGCATTTAAGAATATTTTGGAATTAAAATGATGAAAAATATTAATATTTATTTAAAAAATAATATTTATTGAGTTATTCTTGGTACTGTTCTTAGCACTGTGTATGGGCTACATATGAGGAAATAAATGCTAAGAGATTTTCTCAAGGCTACACAGTTTAGTGAGTGTTTTGAGCCAGAATATGCATCCTGCCAGTATGAGTTCAGAACCTGAGCTCTTAATTGCTATACTTTACTAAAAATTCTACCAGCATGAATGTTGTTTGTTTAGATATCCCTTTTTATAATGTAATTATTTGTGAATCTTAACTTTGTGAAACCTTGATTTCTGTAGAAAAAACAATGTTATCTTCTTCCCTGACCCCAGATATCACTCACTCTTTCTTAAAATCAGCACTTTATATATATATTTATATATATCTTATATATAATATATAATACATAATACATAATATAATGTGTATATATAACATACATTTATATGTATGTTAATTGTAATATATGTACGTTAATTGTATACATGTTACATACAATTTATATCTAATGTAATGTAATCAATTTATATCTAATGTATAAATATATATCGGTATATTATGTATAATATATGGATTATATATAATGTATAATATAATATATTATACATAACATATTATATGTATATTATATGTATACATATATTGTATGTATATGTATCATGTGTATATAAGTATACATATATTATACATACATACTTATGTATATTTAGATATGTTACATATGTATATGTGTATACATATATGTTAAAAATATATGTAATATGTAATATATTTATATTACATATACACACATGTATATGTAATTATACACTTGTATGTATATTAGAGTGCTTAACTCTCCACATCCTTGCCAAGTCTTTATGTTATATACTTTTTTCTTTTTGCCGATCTCCTAGTTGAACATTGACACTTCACTGAAATTTTATGTTCGTGTAGACAAGCATTCTTTCATGTTTGCCATATGTTTTTCATTTTCTGTTTATGTACCTTACATAATTTTTATACTGAATTTTGATTGATTTGTAAAAATTCTTATGTGTTAAGCACCTGAGAATATTCTCCATAAATCGAGAAATTTTGAAGTTATCTTTAACCCCTCTTTCATTTGGTTCCTGTTTTTTACCTACTAGTCAAGACTCTAATCTATCTCTGCCAGGGCCTTAAACAATTTCCCCATATTGCATGTTTTCTCGGTGTAAAATAACCACATGTTCTTAGTCAACTGATAATTTAAAAATACTACATTGGGCCGGGCGTGGTGGCTCACGCCTGTAATCACAGCACTTTGGGAGGCCGAGGCGGGTGGATCATGAGGTCAAGAGTTCAAGACCAGCCTGGCCAACAGGGTGAAACCCTGTCTCTACTAAGAATACAAAAATTAGCCGGGCATGGTGGCATGTGCCTGTAATCCCAACTACTCGGGAGGCTGAGGCAGGAGAATCGCTTGAACCCAGGAGGCGGAGGTTGCAATGAGCCGAGATCACGCCACTGCGCTCCAGCCTGGGTGACAGAGCAAGACTTTGTCTTGAAAAAATAAAAATAAAAAAAGATGCTATGTCAAAAAACTGCTATTAAAAATATGTAATGGCTCCCTACTTCATTCAATACCCATGAACCATCCAAATAAATTTATGTCTGGTTTTGGAAAAAATTATATCTTTTTTTTTTTTTGACGGAGTTTCACTCTTGTTGCCCAGGCTGGAGTGCAATGGTGCAATCTCGGCTCACTGCAACCTCCACCTCCCAGGTTCAAATGATTCTCCTGCCTCAGCCTCCCGAGTAGCTGAGATTACAGGCACGTGCCACCCATGCCTGTCTAATTTTGTATTTTTAGTAGAGATGGGGTTTCTCCATATTGGTCAGGCTAGTCTCGAACTCCCGACCTCAGGTGATTCTTCCTGCCTTGGCCTCCCAAAGTGCTGGGAATACAGGCGTGAGCCACCATGCCTGGCTGGAAAAAATTATTTCTTCAGAGCTGTCTAATCTTAATCTCCTATCTCATGGGAAATAAAATTATTTTACATTTCATAGTTAGATCATGTTTCCTTGAATTTTCCAGATATCTATGATGGGTTTTTTTGCTTGTTTGTTTTCGTGATTGTGTGTTTGTGTTTGTTATTGTTCAAAATACTGTTTCTTTTTGCTAGAATGCCCTTCCCACAAACTCTGATTGTCAACATGGTACACACTTTTTAGGTTACAAATTTTGTTCTTACTTTTCTTTTGGAAATTTATTTTATGATCACTGGCCATGATAATTTCTGCGAATTTTAAATTATTGGACCATCTAAAACTTGGCTGTACTTAAAATATTAGATAATGGCATTTTTGTCTATCCATCAATCACTCCAAGTTAAATCCTAGAAGTTATCTTTGAAACCTAGTTTTTCTTCATTCTAGCAAAATTGTTCAGATGATACTTCTGCCTTATACTAACTCAACACTTTCTGAGTTCAGTTCCCACACAATTTTAATGATATCCTGGGAGAGGGGCTCACACAGAGTAGTGGTTTGAAGCACTGTATAGGCCATAGTGGCATTGGGGTAATTTGTTACTACAGAAGGTGGAAGAAAGAGACATCGTCAGAAGGATGAATTTTCAAGACTATAACAAACTTCTGGTCTAGCCCTGTGAGGTATTGGGCAACAGTGAGAACTGTTGCAGGAACAGATCCTTATTACCATGGTGTCTCTTTTGGACACCAGAAAACAGAGGGGTTTATGGAAATTCCAGTTTTCTTCCACTTATTATAGAGTAAACTGACGTTCATGCTTTTCCCATAATTGGTGTTATTAATTCGCCCCATATCTTTGTATTTTGTCCCTTTTAGTTTGTCATGACCGATAAAAGAATCTCCTTTTAAGCCCTAAAAGTGAATCTCCAAATTTTCATAAGGAGTCTACGATGTTAATTTTTTTAATGCCACAAAGTGCACATGAATTTGTGGAAACTTAATATGTATATTGGCATTATTTTGTAGTAGAAAAAAATAGGGTGAAAAGAAGGGATAGTGAAGATTTAGAAAGTGGCTCAGTAACTCTTCCAGATTTTCTATCTCTCCTGCTAGAAATTCTGCCAACATGCAAGTAAAAAGCCATGTCAGTATTAGTCAACTAGGTGTTCTACTAGGGAAAGCTTTCAGGTTTACAAGTAGAACCTTATATAGTATTAAATGACAGTTTTCCTAGACCAGTGTTTTTCAAAGGGTCTCTGTGAGAAGTTCTCAGGTAGATGCTTATAACATGAAACAATTTAATGGAGTGCGAATAGGCCCCATAAATAGCTCTGGACTCTACAGAATTTCATAATGCACCTTATCACATGTAGGTCTTTAAAATTTTATTTATAGTTTTTAAATAAATTTTTCTCACTTTGCATAAAGCAAATTTTTCAAATGTTTCCTTGTATGTATTTACATTTGACAGGAAAGATTTTGACTGAATGAAACTTAAGTAAGGGTTATTCTATGAAATTAGTCCAAAAAAATTACACTATAAATATTAAATCTCAGATTCCAAGAGAATATTAAGAACTCACCTAGGCATCTTGGTGGTTCTGACCACTGTTTATTTCTGCATGTTACAGTTACAGAGCCCTGGAGTTTATAGAAGGACTGGCAACGGTACGTCACTGTTGACCCTGGAGGATATACTGATAATGGGAATGAGGTGGTATCTCCATTGTTAATAGATGGAGGGGGCCCACAATATGCAGTAGACTCTGGAAAACAGCATTTATTTGTTGAGACATTATGTTAGTTTAAACAAAATAATATAATGAAGCATCATGTATCATATCTTTAATATAAGGTGTCTGGAAATTCAAATAATTAATTACAGTATTTCTGTCATAAAGTCTGATTCAAAACATATTGTAGCTCCTTTCATGTTAAAGTGAAATTCATATAAAATACCGGGAATACTTTTTATTGAAGGCAGGAGAGACAGGTGAGTAAACTTCTGGTCTAGGTTCCTCCTCCACCCCTTAATATTCAATTGTCACTTAAAGAGGAAAGGTAAAAGTAAATAACTTTCTTACTGTTTCTAGTCTCAGGGTAATTATTACTTTATGCAAATAGCATATACCAACTAGTATATGATCATAAACTTGTAGTTTTACTGAAAATGAATTGCAGACACACTCTTCTGCATTTACTTTTTTGATACCAAATAATATTGTAGGCATCTTTCCCTATCAATAAATGTTTCAACTTCATGCTAATGAAGAGATTTTGGGGAAAACTAAAAAAAGTAACAACTTCATGCTAAGATTGGCTGGAATACGTTCAATTGTACTGACTGATCTCCCTTTATATATCACCAAGAACATAAATATGAAATCACTAAGTAATCCTATCCCAAATTGCTTGTACATCCTCTAGTTTCATTGAGTTACTGTCCTTGCTTTCTCAGATTGACTTCTTCATGATGACACTAGATTCTTTCACCTTTAAACTTGTAAAAGATCCTTCTTCATGAATTATCTCCTTTCTTCTGTAACATCAATGTCTCCCTTTCCACTTAATCATTCACCAACCTACAAACATGCTGAAAATGTCACAATTCAATAAGGTAAAATTTCACTTTCTCCATATCTTCTATCCGGTAACTGCCTCATTTCTCTATTCCCTTTTGAACACATTTACTTGTTTCTCATCCTCCATGATCTTACTTTATCACCCCACATTCTTTCTTGAACACACTGCAATTACTTACCCCCTATGGAAATATCTCTAGGCAAAATTACCAATGGTTTTTATTTAGATAAATAGATTGTTCAATTATCAGGCATCTTGTCCAGCTCTAAGCACTCTTTGCCATATCTGATGTTTTGTCAAGTAATATTTTGAAATATGTGCTTTTGAAATGCAGCCATGTAGCACTTAATGACAAGAAGATATTCTGAGAAATGTGTCATTAGGCTCTTTTTTCCTTGTGTGAGCATCATGGAGTGAGCCTACACAAACCTAGATAATGTTGCCTACTACACACCTAGGCTATATGGTGCAGCCTATTGCTCCTATTGTCCCCAAACCCCTGGCTGCAGACCAGTACCCTCTGTGGCCTCTTAGGAACCGGGCTGCATGACAGGAAGTGAGAGGCAGGCGAATGAGCATTACTGCCAGCATTACTACCTCCTGTCAGATCAACCAGGGCACTAGATTCTCATAGGATCTTGAACCCTATTGTGAACTGCACATGCAAGGGACCTAGGTTGCATGCTCCTTATGAGAATCTAATGCCTGATGATCTGAGGCACAGGAGTTTCATCCTGAAACCATCCCCCAACCTCCTCAGTCCATGGAAAAATTGTCTTCCACAAAACATGTCCCTGATGCTAAAAAGGTTGGGTATTGCTGTCCTAGGCCACAAACCTGTACAGCATGCTACCATACTGAATACTATAGGCCATTGTGACATGATGGTAAGTATTTGCATATCTAAACATATTTAAACATAGAAAAGGTACAGTAAAAATATGATAGAAAAGATTTTTAAGAAGATGTAGAAATTTCAAACTTGTTTCTTCTATGAACACTGTTGGAGATAACTCTTAGAGAAACTTTTTTAAATGACAGAATTGGTTACTTAGCAATTTAAGGCTTTGGGGTACAGTGCAACAGATTAGTCATAAGTTCTTGTTTCTTTCTTTAGATAAAGCAAAGGGGATTAATAACCTCTTTTTAAGTGAAATTACTTAGAAATAAACTACTAACCAACACAGCGTGGTAATGATTGCCATCGTCCATCTTTACATACAATTTCTTTTGCTTCTGGAAGTAGATAGTTTTCTTTACAGAGAACAGCTACTTTTTCTCCATCCTGATAATTCACTGTGGTTGTCATATTCTGAGCATTAGGTATCTGAGGTGGCGGTGGGCAGAATTGTTCCCTTTTTTCTACAAAATATTGGAATTAAATTATATGATTAATAAAAGTTAAGTAAAAACAGCTCAATAGGGTAGTGTTTCAGGAAAATGGAAGATTCAATGACACACACACACTATGTCTCTCTATCACTTTCTCTTTCTCTCTCCCTATATATAAATGTTATAATAACAAATATTTTTTGTGTCACTATAGTTTACAGTTTAAAAAGCGATTCTTTTTGTTATAACCATTAGTTTAAAATTTTTCAGATGCTCTCTTGTATCTCCTATTCATTATTCCTGTCAATTCTCTTGTATAATTTACAAATAAATTTCTTTAATTTTTTTCTAACTAACCCATATGATTCAAAAAGTTATGTACATTGAATTTAAACAATTTAAAAATAAAAATGACAACAATCAGAAATAACTATGACTTCCCCTAATAACTGAACCCTAGATCTCAATAAAGGATTTCCATGACTTGCATTTTCTTGTAAACATGAGAATGGCTGGTAATGAACATAACTGGAATGCCTCCGTTGGACTAGGAATTAAATTCTTTTTTGGTTGCTTGGCTTATTCTTAGGGAAAAGTTTTAAATGGTCAACTTGGATGCCAAAGCGTTTTCTAAACCTCCTGACCTGGGCTCATGCCCTTACAGTGATCTCCTTCATCTCATGTTTTTCCAGAGTGGTGGCTACTGTCTACTAACACTTCCCTTCAAAATGGTGGGAATTGAACAATGAGAACACATGGACACAGGAAGGGGAACATCACACACCGGGGGCTGTTGTGGGGTGGGGGGAGGGGGGAGGGATAGCATTAGGAGATATATCTAATGCTAAATGACGAGTTAATGGGTGCAGCACACCAACATGACACATGTATACATTTGTAACAAACCTGCACGTTGTGCACATGTACCCTAAAACTTAAAGTATAACAATAATTAAAAAAAACATATTCAGTGAAAAAAAAAATTATTGCATTGAAAGTGCTATTTTTTTTCCTCGCTATACTATTTTCATTTAAAAATCAAGACAGAAGAGTGCATATCTACTCTTTCCTGGTTTAGCTAGATTAAAAAATATAATAATTATATACAACAGATCTTTAATAAATTATTTGAACAGAACCTGAGGTCAGTATAAAATAAGCCAAAACATACATATTGTCTAAAATAGGAATTTTATACTGGATTTTTCCTTATTTTTTCAAGGTCAGAAAGGCAAAATAGTGCAAATCTAAACAGAAACTGTTCCTGTGGAAATCTAGATAGATATCTGGGACTGGGGCCCACTGATGCGTATTTTATGTTTTATATGACTCGTCCTACTTATTTACTGGTTTAAGAAAAGCGTGAACTTAAAGTACTTAGTTCCAGATGCATCTTATTCTAGTCAACCATTAACAAGACCAGTCTTTTGTGATCAGTGTTGTTTCAGTAATTAACTGCAAAAGAAAATAAAATTAGCCTGATATTATTATTGTTAGTATACATTTTTGATTAGCAAAGTTTGGTCATGAGTTTGAAGAAAGTCTATGAGAAGCACATGAAAAGAGGATATCAGGCACATTTGATAGATAGATGGGTCAGTTTTCAATATTATTTATTATTTAGAAGCTCTTCTACTTAATGTCTTATTACCTCTTTGTTTAGGTATTTTGTAAACATTTTGGAAACTAAACATTTTTGTTGTTTATGAATTTCTGTTTGGTGGTTTAAGTATTTTTATTTAAATACATAGTCACAAAGATGAATACTTATTGAGTATCATCAAGACTCTTTTGAATGAGCCTCAAGGCCTGTGCTGCCAATCTAGGGACTCAGCAGTTACCTGCTATGAGCCTCCTAGATGTCCCAGTGCCAGGAAATAGGGAAGCTGAAGGTGTCTGTAATCTCAAATGTACAAATAATAATGAGAATTTCATCAACAAAGTCCCAACTAAGTGAGTTAGATATTCAAATATCACACATATACTATTGTTTTTATATTTTAGGTAAAAAGAACATTACACATAATGATCTCAGTTGCCCACCTTACTTTCCTTTTAGAATTGGACATCTGTTTAGAAATTTCTGTCTAGTAAAGACAGAGTCTAGTTGAAACAGCACTGATATAAAAATCTGGAAACAAGTTCCAGTCTTGATTTTGACCAAATAACTTCTTGAAGCCATGTATTTCTGATGCATAAAATGAGAAATTTTATTATTTTTCTCAAGAACAAGCAAGGTGTGTAACAAATATTTGCCACCTAATAACGTTCTTACCTAATTTCCAGACTACTAGCTACCAGCTCTTCTCAAAACTTTAAATAAGGCTTCTTCCTTATTTTGATACCTATGACTCATAGTATTTTCCTTCTCTTTATGCTTGTAATTTATTTATTTAAAAAATTGAACTCATATTATTATTCCCTGTATTTCAGTTTTCATCTACTCTTTGGTTGTAGAAATGTTTATTTGTGTATGCACACCATTCTTGATTAGAGTCAACTCATTTAGACAGCTCTGCTTATTAATCTTTTCAAAACATTAGTTTCATATCTTGGATTAGTTGGAAATACAAGGTTCTATTTCATTTTCTTCTGCTTTTACTTTTATTATTTCCTTTTCCTCCTAATATCTGAATTCATTTTCCCCCTAGCTTTTTAGGATATACATATATATTATATATATACACACACACACACACACACACATATATATACACACATATATACATATATACATATATGTGTGTGTGTATATACATATGTGTGTGTATATATATGTGTGTGTGTGTATATATATATATATATATATATATATATATATATATATACTTTTTCCCAAAATAGATAAGTTTAAGACTATGAATGCCACATCATTCTAAATTTTGCTTAGGTTGCATCTCATAGGTTTTACTACGTATCCTTGTAATTATAACATAGTTCTTAATATTTTAAACATTACATCACTAGGTTATTTGGAAGTAAATTATTTGCTTACCCAAAATGAAAGGTAAGGAAGTGGATAACTTTTTATACACTTTTAATGTTATTTGTTTGTGGTTACAAAAAGTCATCTATAGGGCTTTAATATTTGAAGTTGTGAGAATTATTTTGGGCAGAATGACTGGCCAATTTAAGTAAACATTTCATGGACACATAAAAGGCTTCAAACTTCTTTCAACTATCAGAATATTTCTCTTCCTCAAATAGAAAAAATATATAATGAAATCAAATATTTTATAAACATAAAAATGTTCCAGTTGCTTTAAACAAATTGTAGTTATCTTATCTTTTTGAAATCCTTATGTATTTAAGTTTAAGAATATATTCCAGTATTTTTCCTCACAATTTCTAATGACATCACACTTTTTGCTATAAATTAGTATTTTATATCATTAATGTGTATTTTATATGATTTCTTTCAAACTATGACCTTGTGTGTAAACTCCTATCCTTCCTGTGGTTGCAAATTTCTTTATTTTGGAATCATTAGTGAATTATATTGGTACATAGAATGACTGGTTGCCAGTTACTTTCACTAAGCACTTTGAAGAGATTACCTTATTTTCTTCGGCTTTTGACGTTGCTGATGAGAAGTCTGCAGTCTATCTTCTCTCTTTTATTGTCATTCCTTTATAAGCACTTTGTTTTCTCTAGTTCTGGTTTATTTTAATCTAATATGGTGCCCCATTTTATAATTACTTGTAATTTATAATCCTATTACTCAAAGTAAATGATTTGAATATAAGCCTTCGAGGAATGTGAGACTTTTTCTTAGGGAAATAATTGATTACTCAAATATATTTTCTTTCTCAGCCTACTTTTTACTCAGCCTACTGTCTGGTCCAGAATTGGCAATATCTGTTAGTTTTGTTTCACAGTGCATAATTGGGGTTTTAATTGTTTCTTAATGTCATTGAAGATTAAGTTTTGTTCTTTTTTTACAGTTCTTTATTTCTTTTTTTCTTTCAAGGTTTTGTGAGACTGTAATAGAGTAAAAACAGCTTTACTCTCTCATCTTTACCAGAAAGCCAAGGCTTTTAAAGAATAACATTTGTCTGGAAAGAGTATTATAACTAGTTTCTACTTTACTATTAGCATAGAAATTATATGCCACAATAAATATTTAATTTAAAAACATTCTAATTTCAAAATAATTTTTCTTGTAAAGAAGCAACAAGATCAACAAAATGTTTTAAACAAATCTTACCTGTGCAGTCTACTTCAGGATTCCATTTCCCGTTTATACAGACTGAGTGCCTGTATCTGAAGATGTCTGAACATCTGTAACGTATTCTAGAATTATGATTAAATTCTTTCCCAGATAGCTTGAGTAATGTTTTTATATTAACTCCTGCTATTTTGCACCTCTTAAGTTGGTGTGTTGCTATAAAAAATAATATTAAATAGAAACTAAACAATTATGTCAATAAAATATCTGCAATATTAATAGCATAATTATGTTTGATGCTTTTAAGCAACATCACAAAACTTATTCTTAATCTCATTGCACAAAATAGACAATGCTGTTGGAAAAAGAAAAAATAAAACAAAAAACTGTATCCCATCTTTGAATGACAGGAAAGTAGGTCAGAAAGTTTTCTGGGAAATGAAAGTGCAAGATAGGTTTTCCTAGTGGGAGTTTTGACTGAAAGATAGTTCTTAGGAAGCTACAAATGAATTGTTAGAGGCTCTGAAAATGTACACATGTATGATTGTTTTGCACTAAACTATCTTAAATATCTTCAAAACATTTAAATAATAAAAAGAGGCAATACATGGGTAAGTCTGCAGGAAGCAAAGCATCAGTAAGAGATAGATCTGGGTCCCCCTTGAGGTTCAATGACTCACATTTCAAAAGCTCAGCAAAAACTCTGACTCAGTAAGTCAGAGTATTCTCAGGGGAAGAACTCACTGATAATAACACAACTGAGCTTCAGAACATAAATTCCTACTAAGCCTCTTGCTTGTCTAAGTAGTTCTCATTGTTACATTTTTTTCCCGTTTCCCATAAACATGTAGATAGTTATGGAGCCTTTTCCTTAGTGTGTAAAAGGATGGGATAATGAGACATGGAGTGTGCTCTGCTACTTCTATGCTTACAGGTGTTTTCTGCAATAGTTTCTATTTTTAATTCACCCCATATGGGGCTAGAGGTTGATATTTATGTACTCCTTGCATAAAAGTTGATGACCATGAAGATATATGATCTACATCTTCCCATAACAGCGTTCTGGCTCCTGGTAGTGGAAAACATTCCCTCACAATAGGTCATCACGGATGGCCACTGACCAGGTATTTGCTGGGACAACGGCTGGCAACACCTACAGTAATTTTTCCCAGCAATGAGTGGGCCAGTTGATTATCCAAAAGTCCAGGAGATGGAGAGAGAGGCGGTTCTGTTTCAGTTTCTGTAAGGAGGAGAACAGCGGCGGAAAGTCTGCTTGTCTTTAAAGTTCAAAATTAGAGGCTTTAATGTATTGAGGTTGCTAGAGATAGGACAAAAGAGGCCAGGATCTGAGGGTGTCGGGAAAAAAAATACCTGCAAGTACTTAAGTGTCAAGGCTGGAAGTCCTGAGGCTGCAAGGTAAGAGTAGAGCACACAGGCTGATAGACTACTACTACTTACTACTTACTACTTACTTACTACTTACTACTTACTACTTCTGTGGAGGAAACCGACAAACTAAGTAGATAATTAGGAATAGAAATAAGAGAATTATGGGACCAGAAAGAGCAAGGATCATGCCTAGTTCCTGGGTCCTAGTCCCCTACTCTTCTTCTATGAAGGGATTCCAAACACTCTGGAATTTAATAGAACTCAAGCTACATTGCTATTTTTTAGGTTGTTCTATCTGGAACATGCTGAGGTAAAGACTAAGTTAAAGCAATGAAATAAAAGAAATTAAATCGCCATCATTTGTAGAAATACAATATCCCAATTAAATATTAGAACTAATACAGAAATTCAACAAGGTTACTGGAAACAAAAATAATGTATGCAATTAAATCACATTCTTGCATATAGAAAGTATAACTATTCAAGCATATACATTAATAAAAGTTTCCATTCATCATGCCAGAAAAATCCCAAATAAATTGGTGAAGAAATCTGTGCAGTAATAACAAGAAATTCATAAAACCATATGGTAAAGTTTAATGTAAGACCTGAATAAATGGATTGACATATTTTACTTGTGGAAGGAAGAGTCAGTATCAATAAAATTGTAATTCTAGCCAGATTTATACACTTTATACAATCCCAATCAAAATGATAAATAATCAAATATAAAGTTTAGGAATGTTTTCTCACCAACACACATAGGAAGCTCTGTCCATATTCCATTAATACAGGTAATCATGTTATTTCCAATCATTGCATATTCATTTCTGCAATTCACCTCGACTGAAACTCCATGTTGATAGGGAGGGACAGACGGCTGAACATAACCGTACTCGAGTTCAGGTATGTATCCACATGTTTTCACTTGTTCTAAGAAAATGTAATAAAATGAGTGCTTACTCTGAAAATATTTTAAATCTGTTTACATGTGTATTTATATATAAGTGCAAAGTAATAGTAACTGTCCTGTTTAAATGTTAATATTTATTTACCAACACAAGTGGGTAAAGTTGTCCATTCTCCATCCACACATTGTATTTTCTTAGGCCCGTTTATTATAAAATTAGGATTGCAATCATATTCCACTACTTCATTGTGTCCATATTCCTCTTTTCTTATCTCCTTAACTTCACCATTGGAGAGTTGAGGAGGTGGACCACATGATCGTACTTGTCCTATTATAAAGAAACCATAAATAATGCTTAAATGGTCTTATAAGTATAGAAAAATGTGGAGTTACTAAATTTTTGACTTAGAAATTAATTGCCTTTATATTGCACTTCTATTTTTGGGGACATGTGTTTTTTGCAGTGTACATAGTGTATTGACTGCATTCGTTTCCTCAAATATTGACACTTTTCATGATGAACAATTTTGAGCAAATGAAAGGAGAAAGAATGCATAATGAACACTTATAAACTGATTACCTAGATATAAAAATGTTACACTTTGCCCTATTTACTTATTTTTTGTGAAGTAATTGAAAGTAAATGACAGTGAAATTTTAGTCCTAAATTCTTCAGAATGCTATCTCATAAAGACATTTGCCTACATATACAAAATATCTTTTACATTTCACCAAATTAATAATATTTTCTTAGTACAATCTTATATCCTCTCTATATTTAAACATCCTGATTGTCCATCTTTCCCAATATTTTGTAGGCTGTTTATTATAATCAGGATATTAAGTTGTACCCTTGAAGATTTTTAAGTAGGTCAATAATCTGAAAGTTATATAAAAGTAAATAGTTATCAAATATGTGATATAATATACATATGCAATGTATAGTTATAACTTTTATTAATATCTATAAATACTTTGATATGGATTGGCTGTGTCCTCACCCAAATCTCATCTTGAATTGTAGCTCCCACAATTCCTATGTGTTGTGGGAAGAACCTGGTGGGAGGTAATTGAATTATGGGGCGGATCTTTCCTGTGCTATTCTCATGATAGTGAATAAGTCTCACGAGCTCTGATGGTTTTATAAAGGGAGGTTTCCCTGCACAAACTCTCTTCTCTTGTCTGCCATCATTCGAGATGTGCCTTTCACCTTCTGCCATGATTGTGAGGTCTCCCCAGCCACGTGAAACTGTGAGTCCATTAAAACTCTTTCTTTTGTAAATTGCCCAGTCTTGGGTATGTGTTTATCAGCATTGTGAAAAGGGACTAATACATACTTCAAATAATGTGATAAGCCATTTTTGATAAAAATAGTGCCATCTGAAGCAGGTATAAATCATCACTGTTTTCTAATGAATAATTCGTATATGCAATGACTTATTTTCTTAATTACTTAATAAAATATAACATTGTTCGTACAATATTTCTAAAAAGTATAAATTTTTTATTGAGCTAGATGGAAAAATCCTAAGACGTCTCAATTCCAGCTACTATATTTTGACCTATAAAATCCTATTATGTATTGTAAAACACAGAAGTAGAATTACTCCTTGATTACGGACACCTAAATAATCTATGCAGCTCAATTACTATAGAACTGCATCCTTTCTCCTTTGCCATTTTACCACTTTGTCAGATTATAGATGTAATATAAGCTCCAATAAAAATATATGGGCATTATTATAAAAATCAAATTCTTGTTTCATCACTTCTAAAATAAATACTGACCTTTGCATGTTGGAAAGTTAGGTGACCACCCAAATTGGTAACATTGAACTGAGTCTGATCCAACTCTTATAAGATTTTTTCTGCAGGAGAATTTCAACACGTCTCCAACTTTGTAGCTTTCTTTTTTTGGCTGAGCATCTACATTGGCTTCTAAAATTGGAACATGACATTCTCCTTCTAAAAATAAAATTAAATGAACATATGTGAATTTTCATTGCAGAAACAAATTTAATGTGTGCTATATAAAAATAAGATGCAAGGGGCTTCATATACAGAGTATAAAATATATTCTTGCCTTCGAGAAAACATATAGACTAATTATTTATACCCAATAAATATATCTAAGACCCCTCAGGCAAATTGGGAAACTGTATATAGCAAGGTAACATTTTCTATGAGAATCTCTTCAGGATTGTAGTAAGAATGTCCTGTGAAGTTACTCATACAGTAAATTATTTAATTTGTTTAATTAGCAATATTAGTTCTAATTTTATTGTTTAATAAATAAGTTTAATAACATTATTTGTTTATAATACAGAATAGGAATATTTTTTTCTCACTAAATCACAAAAAATTCCTTCAAGTAACAAAATAAAATTGCAACATATTTAATTACTTTTTGTCAAATAAAAAAAATGATGTATAAAAAGTAGATATGTGGGCCTGACATGGTGGGTCATGTCTGTAATCCCAGCACTTTGGGAGGCCAAGGTGGGCAGATCACCTGAGGTCAGGAGTTCAAGACTAGCCTGGCCAACATGGTGAAACCCTGCCTCTACTGAAAATACAAAAATTAGCCAGGCATGGGGTGGTGGGCGCCTATAGTCCCAACTACTAGGGAGGCTGAGGCAGGTGAATCACTTGAACCCAGGAGGCGGAGGTTGCAGTGAGCCGAGATCGCACCACTACACTCCAGCCTGGGTGACAGAGTGAGACACTGTCTCAAAAAACAGTAGATATGTGAAACACCCAAACAGGATACAACTAATAAATGTTAAGTTGAAGGGAATATTTAAAAGCAGATTATTCCCAGTTTTACAAAAGGGTAACTAAATATCAAAGACTTTTAAAAAACCCATCTAGGTTTTTTGAATCTTTCCCTTATACTCAACTCTATCACTAATATGTTTGTAAAAACTAACTCATTATGAATATATTCTGATTCAATTAGAAATAGATATGTATATGAATATGTGTGTTTTTCTCATTTAATAATCTTTCATTAATGGTTAGTTTATAAAATTATATATTAATTCTTGTGTAAAATAAATAATTGACATTCAAGACAAAAATAATCTGAATAAATCAAGCATACACAAAAATAAAATTGAAATATGTTCTAACTAATAATCTCATAAATATTTTCAAACTAGCTAGTTTTATATACTGTTATTGGCACTTTAATGTATTGATCACAGTTTACTTGAGCAAATCCCAAGAGAATGTGTCTTAATTCACTAAAATAAAATGTGTATCTCTAAATCTCTGTTTGTTATTCCAGTATTTTGCATGACAGTTCTTTATTGGTTGTTTATAGTCTTTTTTTAACTAATTGTTAAAAACAAAATGCCATTGAAAATAATTGATCTTGATTCTGTTCCAAGATGGCCGAATAGGAACAGCTCTGGTCTGCAGCTCCCAGTGTGATCGATGCAGAAGATGGGTGATTTCTACATTTCCAACTGAGGTATCTGGTTCATCTCACTGGGACTGGTTGGACAGCGGGTGCAGTCCATGGAGGGGGAGCCAAAGCAAAGCAGGGCATTGCCTCCCTGGGAAGTGCAAGGGGTTGGGGGATTTTCCTTTCCTAGCCAAGGGAGGCCCTGACAGACTGTACCTGGAAAATCGGGACACTCACACACAAATACTGCACTTTTCCAGTGGTCTTAGAAAAAATAGAAGTGCAAGGGGTTGGGGGATTTCCCTTTCCTAGCCAAGGAAACCCGTGACAGACTGTACCTGGAAAATCGGGACACTCACACACAAATACTGCACTTTTCCAGTGGTCTTAGTGGTGTGTCCAGTCTCCAGGACACACCAGGAGACTGTATCCTGTGCCTGGCTTGGCAGTTACCACGCCCACAGAGCCTTGCTCACTGCTAGTGTGGCAGTCTGAGATCGACCTGTGAGGCAGCAGCCTGGCAGGGGGAGGGGCGTCCGCCAATGCTGAGGCTTGAGTAGGTAAACAAAGCAGCTGGAAAAGCTTGAACTGGGCAGAGACCACTGCAGCTCAGCAAGGCCTGCTGCTTCTGTAAACTCCACCTCTGGGGGCAGGGCATAGCTGAACAAAAGGCAGCAGAAACTTCTGTAGACTTAAATGTCCCTGTCTGACAGCTCTGAAGAGAGCAGTGGTTCTCCCAGCATGGTGTTTGAGCTCTGAGAACGGACAGATTGCCTCCTCAAGTGGGTCCCCGTCCCACGTGTAGCCTAACTGGGAGACACCTCCCAGTAGGGGGAAAACTGACACCTCATACAGGTGGGTGCCCCGCTGGGATGAAGCTTCCAGAGGAAGGAGCAGGCAGCAATATTTGCTGTTCTGCAATATTTGCTGTTCTGCAGCCTCTGCTGGTGATACCCAGGCAAACAGGGTCTGGACTGGACCTCCAGCAAAATCCAACAGACCTGCAGCTGAGGGACCTGATTGTTAGAAGGAAAACTAAAAAACGAAAGAAATAGCATCAACATCCACAAAAAGGACATCCACAACAAAACCCCATCTGTAGGTCACCAACATCAAAGACCAAAGGTAGATAAAACCACAAAGATGGGGAGAAACCAGAGCAGAAAAACTGAAAATTCTAAAAACCAGAGTGTCTCTTCTCCTCCAAAGGATCATAGCTCCTCACCAGCAATAGAAGAAAGCTGGACAGAGAATGACTTTGATAAGCTGACGGAAGTAGGCTTCAGAAGATTGGTAATAACAAACTTCTCCAAGCTAAAGGAGGATGTTTGAACCCATCGCAAGGAAGCTAAAAACCTTGAAAAAAGATTAGATGGATGGCTAACTAGAATAAACAGTGTAGAGAAGACCTTAAATGACCTGATGGAGCTGAAAACCATGGCACGAGAACTACGTGATGCATGTACAAGCTTCAATAGCCGATTTGATCATGTGGAAGAAATGGTATCAGTGATTGAAGATCAAATTAATGAAATAAAGAGAGAAGAAAGTTTAGAGAAAAAAGAGTAAAAAGAAATGAACAAAGCCTCCGAGAAATATGGGACTATGTGAAAAACCAAATCTACGTTTGATTGCTGTACCTGAAAGTGAGGGCGATAATGGAATCAAGTTGGAAAACACTCTTCAGGATATTATCCAGGGGAACTTCCTTAACCTAGCAAGGCAGGTCAACATTCAATTTCAAGAAATGCAGAGAACACCAAAAAAATACTCCTCGAGAAGAGCAGGACACATAATTGTCAGATTCACCAAGGTTGAAATGAAGGAAAATATGTTAATGGCAGCCAGAGAGAAAGGTTGGGTTACCCACAAAGGGAAGCCCATCAGACTAATAGTGGATCTCTCGGCAGAAACTCTACAAGTCAGAAGAGAGTGGGGGCCAATATTCGACATTCCTAAAGACAAGAATTTTCAACCCAGAATCTCATATCCAGCCAAACTAAGCTTCATAAGTGAAGAAGAATTAAAATCCTTTACAGACAAGCAAATGCTGAGAGATTTTGTCACCACCAGGTCTGCCTTACAAGAGCTCCTGAAGGAAGCACTAAACATGAAAAAGAACAACCGGTACCAGCCCCTGCAAAAACATGCCAAATTGTAAAGACCATCTATGCTAGGTAGAAACTGCATCAACTAACGGGCAAAATAACTAGCTAACATCACAATAACAGGATCAAATTCACACATAACAATATTAACCTTAAATGTAAATGGGCTAAGTGCTCCAATTAAAAGACACAGACTGGCAAATTGTATAAAGAGTCAAGACCCATCAGTGTGCTGTATTCCGGAGACCTATCTCACGTGCAGAGACACACATAGGCTCAAAATAAAGGGATGGAGGAATATCTACCAAGCAAATGGAAAGGAAAAAAAAAAGCAGGGGTTGTAATCCTAGCCTCTGATAAAACAGAATTTAAACCAACAAGGATGAAAAGAGACAAAGAAGGCCATTACATAATGGTAAAGGGATCAATTCAACAAGAAGAGCTAACTATCCGAAATATATATGCACCCAACAGGAGAACCCAGATTAATAAAGCCAGTCCTTAGAGACCTACGAAGAGACTTAGACTCCTGCACAATAATAATGGGAGACTTTAACACCCCACTGTCATTATTAGACAGATTAATGAGACAAAAGGTTAACAAGGTTATCCAGGACTTGAAATCAGCTCTGCACCAAGCGGACCTAATAGACATCTACAGAACTCTCCACTTCAAATCAACAGAATATACATTCTTCTCAGCATCACATAGCACTTATCCCAAAATTGACCACATAGTTGGAAGTAAAGCACTCCTCAGCAAATGTAAAAGAACAGAAATCACAACAAACTGTCTCTCATACCACAGTGCAAGCAAGTTAGAACCCAGGATTAAGAAACTCACTCAAAACCGCACCACTACATGGAAACTGAACACCCTGCTCCTGAATGACTACCAGGTAAATAACAAAATGAAGGCAGAAATAACGATGTTCTTTGAAACCAAGGAGAACAAAGCCACAACTTACCAGAATCTCTGGGACACATTTAAAGCAGTGTGTAGAGGGAAATTTATAGTACTAAATGACCACAAGAGAAAGAAGGAAAGATCTAAAGTCAACACTCTAAGATCACAATTGAAAGAACTAGAGAAGCAAGAGCAAACACATTCAAAAGCTAGCAGAAGGCAAGAAATAACTAAGATCAGAACAGAACTGAAGGAGATAGAGACAACAAAAGCCCTTCAGAAAATCAATGAATCCAGGAGCTGGTTTTTTGAAAAGATTAACAAAATAGACAGACTGCTAGCAAGACTAATAAAGAAGAAAAGAGAGATGAATCAAGCAGATGCAATAAAAAATGATAAAGGGGATATCACCACCGATCCCACAGAAATACAAACTACCATCAGAGAATACTATAAACACCTCTACGCAAATAAACTAGAAAATCTAGAAGAAATGGATAAATTCCTCGACACATACATCCTCCCAAGACTAAACCAAGAAGAAGTTGAATCTCTGAATAGACCAATAACAGGCTCTGAAATTGAGGCAATAATTAATTGCCTACCACCCAAAAAAGTTCAGGACCAGACAGATTCACAGCAGAATTCTACCAGAGGTTCAAAGAGGAGCTGGTCACATTCCTTCTGAAACTATTCCAATCAATAGAAAAAGAGTGAATACTCCCTAACTCATTTTATGAGGCCAGCATCATCCTGGTACCAAAGACTGGCAGAGACACAACAAAAAAAAGAGAATTTTAGACCCATATCCCTGATGAACATCGATGTGAAAATCCTCAATAAAATACTGGCAAACCAAATCCAGCAGCACATCAAAAAGCTTATCCACCACAATCAAGTTGGCTTCATCCTTGGGATGCAAGGCTGGTTCAACATATACAAACTAATAAATGTAATCCATCACATAAACAGAACCAATGACAAAAACACGTGATTATCTCAATAGATGCAGAAAAGGCCTTTGACAAAATTCAACAGCGCTTCATGCTAAAAACTCTCAGTAAACTAGGTATTGATGGAACATATGGCAAAATAATAAGAGCTACTCATGACAAACCCACAGCCAATATCATACTGAATGGGCAAAAACTGGAAGCATTCCCTTTGAAAATCAGCACAAGACAGGGATGCCCTCTCTTACCACTCCTATTCAACATAGTGTTGGAAGTTCTGGCCAGGGCAATCAGGCAGGAGAAAGAAATCAAGGGTATTCAATTAGGAAAAGAGGAAGTCAAATTGTTGCTGTTTGCAGATGACATGATTGTATATTTAGAAAACCCCATCGTCTCAGCCCAAAATCTCCTTAAGCTGATAAGCAACTTCAGCAAAGTCTCAGGATACAAAATCAATGTGCAAAAATCACAAGCATTCCTATACACCAATAACAGACAGACAGAGAGCCAAATCATGAGTGAACTCCCCTTCTCAATTACTTCAAAGAGAATAAAATACCTAGGAATCCTATTTACAAGGGATGTGAAGAATCTCTTCAAGGAGAACTACAAACCACTGCTCAGCGAAATAAAAGAGGACACAAACAGATGGAAGAACTTTCCATGCTCATGGAGAGGAAGAATCAATATCGTGAAAATGGCCATACTGCCCAAGGTAATTTATAGAGTCAATGCCATCCGCATCAAGTTACCACTAACTTTCTTCACAGAATAGGACAAAACTACTTTAAAGTTCATATGGAATCAAAAAAGGGGCTGCATTGCCAAGACAATCCTAAGCAAAAAGAACAAAGCTGGAGGCATCAGGCTACCTAACTTCAAACTATACTACAAGGCTATACTACAAGTAACCAAAACAGCATGGTACTGGTACCAAAACAGAGATATAGACCAATGGAACAGAACAGAGGCCTCAGAAATAACACCACACATCTACAACCATTTGATCTTTGACAAACCTGAGAAAAACAAGAAATGGGGAAAGGATTCCCTATTTAATAAATGGTGCTGGGAAAACTGCCTGGCCATATGTAGAAAGCTGAAACTGGATCCCTTACTTACACCTTATACAAAAATTAATTCAAGATGGATTAAAGACTTAAATGTTAGACCTAAAAACCATAAAAACCCTAGAAGAAAACCTAGGCCTTAGCATTCAGGACAAAGGCATGGGCAAGTACTTCATGACTAAAACACAAAAAGCAATGGCAACAAAAGCCAAAATAGACAAATGGAATCTAATTAAACTAAAGAGCTTCTGCACAGCAAAAGAAACTACCATCAGAGTGAACAGGCAACGTACAGAATGGGAGAAAATCTTTGCAATCTACCCATCTGATAAAGGGCTGATAGCCAGAATCTACAAAGAACTTAAACAAATCTACAAGAAAAAACCCCATCAAAAAGTGGGCAAAGGATATGAACAGACACTTCTTAAAAGAAGACATTTATTCAGCCAACAGACACATGAAAAAATGCTGATCATCACTGGTCATCAGAGAAATGCAAATCAAAACCACAATGAGATACCATCTCACACCAGTTAGAATGGCGATCATTAAAAAGTCAGGGAACAACAGATTCTAGAGAGGATGTGGAGAAATAGGAACTCTTTTACACTGTTGTTGGGAGTGTAAACTAGTTCAACCATTGTGGTAGACAGTGTGGCAATTCCTCAAGGATCTAGAACTAGAAATACCATTTGACCCAGTGATCTCATTACTGGGTATATACCCATAAGATTATAAATCATGCTGCTATAAAGATACATGCACACATAGGTTTATTGTGGCAGTATTCACAATAGCAAAGACCTGGAACTAGCCCAAATGTCCGTAAGTGATAGACTGGATTAAGAAAATGCGGCACACATACACCATGGAATACTATGCAGCCATAAAAAAGGATGAGTTCTTGTCCTTTGCAGGGTCATGGATGAACCTGGAAACCATCATTCTGAGAAAACTATCACAAGGACAGAAAACCAAACACTGCATGTTCTCACTCACAGGTGGGAATTGAACAATGGGAACACTTGGACACAGGGTGGGGAACATCACACACTGGGGCCTGTTGTAGGGTGGGAGGTAGGGGAGGGGTAGCATTAGGCAAAATACATAATGTAAATCACGAGTTAATGGGTGCAGCAAACCAATATGACACATGTATACCTATGTAACAAACCTGCATGTTGTGCGCATGTACCCTAGAACTTAAAGTATATATATATATATAAAAAGAAAATAATCGATCTTGGCCAATGTAGGGTTTTCCAGCTGCTTTATTCATATATGGTTATTGCATGGTGTTGTAAATGGAATAACGGCCCCCAGAGATGACGCCATACTAATCCCTGCAACATGGATTACCATAACTTGCAAGATGTTACCTTACATGAATAAACAGACTGTGCCGCTATCATTAGGAGTCTAGTTGCCCTGAAACTTTATTAACTTTCCACAGTGTTCGTGAGCTACCATTCAACCTTAGGCACAGAGTGTTCTGCTGAATTCTTTCACTTTGGAGACTCTGACTTGGTCCATCTGTCCATCTACTCTGATAACCTCAATATGTTGTCTTGTGCTTTTGGAATAAGCAACGGGCAGAAAGGGAAAGGCAGCAATATTCTGAGAACTTGAACAATAAGATATGTGCTTTTTCTGATTAAATAAAATGTGCTAAATTTTGAAACAAGTTTATTTTGACAACTTAGTTTCTAAATGTCATTGCCCACTAAATGGAACCAGGACTTATTGGAGGTATGGCTGATTCTAGTTCTGGGGCAGTGGAAACATGAGTTAAGCCTGGGATATTTTTTGTGTCACAAAGCAACCGAATTGTTCAAAGACTAACAAAATCTTACAGACTGTACACAGAGCCAGCTTGTATGGGTTACGCTGGCCAAACTTAATTTGTCAAGCTTCTAAAATATAATTGTTGGTCTGACAATAGCCATCATCTCTCAAAATGAAGAGAGCTTGTTCATGACATGAACAGGTATGGATAAGAGAAAGCATGGAAATATTTATACCATAACTGAAGCCTATACATTTTGAACCCTTTTCAATCACTGGAATTTTCTAGTGTTAGTAACATTTGTTATTTTTTTTTTTTGCAAATGTTAATAATGTTTTAACCCCTTGTAATTGAAAGAGACCATGACGTAACTGTTTACTGAAAAACTATCGCAGTTCCAGCTGTTTTAAAAAGACTCCATTTCTAGAGGTTTAAATTTCATTTTGCTTTACTTTGTTTTGTTTTTCTAGTGGGGAAGGGTCTCACTTTGTTGCCTGGGTTGGAGTGCACTGGTGCAGTCATAACTCACTGAAGCTTTGAACTCCTATTTCAGCCTTGCCAGTGGCGGGGACTACAGGTGCACATCACTGTGCCTGGCTCTAGAGGTTTAAATTAAGAGTTGAAGATGTGGAATAATATTTGATAACATAACATCTTTTGAAAAACCTACCACAGATTCTATTTCTTGATAGGATGGAGTAGCTGCTATCAACATATCATCCCACTGAAAAAAAATTTAGAAAATTTTACAAAATTTATTTTCAGAATGCTGGAAATCACCCAGTACAGAACTGTGATGACTGAAAAAAGGAAAAAACCCTCAATACTTCAAAATAATAAAGCAAAGTCAATGAAAGCCCAGCTGTTTATTGGGAAGCCTTTTCTAGACTGTGCAAGGAGGGAGAACCCAGGAAGAACTCAGTGGTCTTCTTTAGTTGAGACTAGTAAGGTCAGTCTTGGTGACTATGGTGGCCAGAAGTTACTGGACATAGTAGCAGAGAGAAAGTGGTATGAAGAGAAAGACTATGGAAGTTTCCTTGAGTGTTTGGTTGAATACTGAGGTGTGTAAGCATAGGATGGAATCGCATTGGGCTGGGCAAAGAACAATTACTGAAGAGCTATAAAGATGAAGAATTACAAGAGTTCACACAGGACTGTGAGGTGCCATCATTTATACCACAGGCTTCCAAAAGAATCGTTTTCCAAATTCTAAGCCGCTCACAAATACACATACCTCTCAGAAGTATGGACTTTTTACAACTTAGAAAATGATTTATTGACTCAAGCATATTAATTTAAATAAAGATAAATATTAAAAACTTCCTTATAAGACATTTTAACTGTAATTGGACTAATTTGCACTTTAATACCTCAGTTTTGTAACCATTTATTGTCAACTAACCTGACAATATAAACAACAAACAGTTGTTACATTAATGGATTATCTTCAAAGTGTATTCTTCTCTAATATTTCTTCTTATTACGTACATTTGATTTATATAGGTAGGCAAACTATGTTATTGCACATCTACTTAGACACAATTGGAACCGAAAATCAAATAAATAATGATAGAAGTAGTGGTGAAACCTATATTTAACCTATATTTAATCTATAAACTATAGATTTATTTCTTTAAATAATTAGCAAAACTGAGAGAGTGGTATTTTGCTTACTAGTGAAGCTGCATATGGGAGGAGTGGACCAGCCCCGTTCTACACACGAAATGTTTTTCTCATTGTTTTGAAGGCTGTATCCTGTGTTGCAAATAATTTGTACAGTATCACCTTCCAGATGTATTAGTCCTGAAGATTCAGAATGACCATTTTTCACAAAAGGAAAGGAACACATTCCTAAGGAACAAAAATTGATTAATGTACAAGATGGAAGTAGCAAAAAAAGTGCATTTAAAAATATTTCATTAAGAAAGGAAAACTTTGAAAACTGACATCATGTGTAAATATTTTCAAAAGAATTTGGGTCATGCTACCGTATAAATGATGAAATATATTTTTTGTTCCTATATATATATATACGAAAGTTAATATTTCATGTTGTTGCTGTATGGTTTTTATAATAAAAATCTTGTGTTTATAAACTCTTCTAGCACCAAAACAATATCTTCATATAAATATTTCTCGCAATTCTCATAAATGTTTCTTACAAAAGGAGAAAGACCATTACTATCTCCTTTGTTGCCTCATCTATTCTCTCTCCCATTGTTTTTCTTTTTTAATGCACCTGTTATCATTGGAGTCTGGTCTCTACATTTATTGGAGGATTAATATAGCTACACTTTGAAGGACCAAATAAATGATTTATTGAAAATATAAAAGTTAAAATACCAAACCTTACCTCGCAATATGCAAGAGAACGGTAAATTCAAAACAGAATATCTATATAAAATGACTTATTTTAAAGGAAAACTATGATCAGGCTGCTACCAAATGAATATTAGTAAAGAACTATTAGCAGTCAAATATATTAATCATCAGTTTAAAAAAATTAATGTATTTCAACATGTAGGGCATTTCCAGGTAATGCAAGACAGTTGATATATTTATTCTTCATTGATTCTCATAGGAGGGGTCTCAAAATAGGAGGACTACATCTCCCATTTTTCCAGCTCCTCTGGTCATTGCCCTTGTGATTATCAAGACCTTATGATCTTGTCCGGCACATCCTTCTCTATTCACTGAATGACATCCATTTAATGAACAGGGCATTTACTCACTGAGACACTTCGGTGTTGGTGACCATCCTTCTTCTGTGCATGTTATGCGAGTCCAAAAGGATTTTGAAGGAGACACAAAATTATATTCACAGGAGTAATAGAAAACTTCCCCTGTAGGAACTTGGGAAAAAGGGTTATAATCTTCTTCATCATACAGAAATCCATGGTGTATTTTTGGAAAATCACAAAGTGTTCCTGGGAAAAATAACACAAAACTGAAGAATTAAATAAAGAGCTACATCGATGAATCACTAGATTATATTTTAGTCATCTCATTTATAGTTTTGTTTTTCATTCAGCTTAAATGCCTTTAGCTTAAATGCTTTCCAGTGTACTAATTTGGAATGAAGAAAGATCCCTAAATAAGAATAGAAGAGTATTTGAGGAGATCTTTTTTTTTTTTGAGAGGGAGTTTCAGGTTTTACTCTTGTTGCCCAGGCTGAAGTACAATCACGCAAATCTTGGCTCACTGCAGCCTCCACTGGGTTCAAGTGATTCTCCTGCCTCAGCCTCCTGAGTACCTGAGATTACAGGTGCCTGCCACCACACCTGACTAATTTTTTGTATTTTTGGTAGAGACAAGGTTTCACCATATTGGCCAGACTGGTGTCAAACTCCTGACCTCAGGTGATCCATGCGCCTCGGCCTCCCAAACTGCCGGGATTACAGGCATGAACCACCATGCCGGACCGACGAGGTCATTGTTAATGAATATAAAATTTATATTTTGGAATGATATAAAATATGAACTCTTCTGCAATGTCTTCAAGAACAATATCCTCACACAACAATTTAAGAATGAAGGCAGACTGTAAGAGTAGCAAATCTCCCTGGTCTATGTAGTGTACAGTAGAGGAGTGATAGGATTGTTCTCAGCTCTCAGATTTATTTCTTTTTCTATTCTCATCAACTGTCATAGGTATTTCCACCAGAAAAATCTGTCCTATTTTTTTTTCTGGTGCAGTAAAAATGTTGGGTAGGTAATTTGATTTTTTGTTTATTAATATTCTGATTACTTTCTGGTTACAAAGTTTATGTGGTTTCAGTGGAAATAATTTAAAGAGTATAAGAAAATCACTAAGAACAACTCAACCGAGATAAAATTAGAGCTAAATTCTGGTAAATGCTGTATACATAAATGTTTATTATACTGCAAGTCCAAAATATCTGAAAAAGAAAAAACAATAAAAAGATAATAAAACAATAAAAACAATGCAATTAAAAATACAATATAACAATTATTTATATAGTATTTACATTATGTTAGATATTATAAATAATCTAGAGATGATTTAAATTATATGAGAGGATGTGCATATGTTATATGCAAATACTACGCCATTCTCTCTTAGAGACTTGAGCATCTGTGGATTTTGGTATCTGCTGGGGGTGAAAAGAGTCCTGGAACAATTCCTTAAGGATACTAATGATACTGAGGATACTACTGGATATATTTATATAGACACTCACACATACATCCATATGCACTATGGTGCAAGATATGGTAAAACAATGTAGAAAATGGGTGAAATATTCATGTTTTGACTCTATTTTTTCTTGTGTATATATATATTTATATATACACATATTTTTTATTAGACTTAATTTTTTATTTACAGTTTTTTTACTGTAAAATTGAGTGGAAGGTACAGAGATTTCCTATATACCACTTCCTCTTCCCTGCCACATGAATAGCCCCCTTCACTATCAGTATTATTGTCATTAAAGTCCATAGTTTACATTAGGGTTTACTCTTGATATTGTACATTCTATGGATTTGATGTACTTTATCTTTGAATGCTGTTTTAGCTCGAGATATTTCCTCAATATAGTGTGCTCATTTTTTAGCTCAAGATATTTTCTGAATATAGCATTGCTGCATAAGAAATTGTTTTGTTTTTCACCTTATTTAGAAAAAGCATGCAGAAATTCAGCTGACAAATCAAGGGAAATTTCTCTTTTTTAACTACCTAGAAGTAATATTTAATGTTGCACAATATTTGAAATAATTCTTGTGGTATTTAACCTTGTGAAACCTTAAATTTATTACCTAACTGTTTAAAAATTGACATTAGATAGTTTTGGAGAAGATACTGAGGGAAAGACTCCCTCGTGTCTTGATAGTATTAACCTATCATAACTCCTTTTAAATATCATTTACTTTTTGAAAATTGCAAAATTATAGTACTTGATTTTCATGCATATGTACTTACATATTCTTCGCTATCCAGAATAACTTAGTTCTCACCATCCAGTTGTATTCTACCTATCCTTTAGAACTTGCTCTACAACATTCATCGTATAACCATTGTGCACATCCGCAATGGTGCTAGGAGTGTTATCGTCCTTTGGCAAGCCTGCCGTTACACAACAACCCACTCCAAAAGCAGAAAATAATTTTCCTTGTCTCGACATTCTGATAGAATACTGTGAATATATTTCTTCTGGGATACACACACACACACACACACACACACACACACACGTATATATACAGACATACAGTCATTTACCACATAATGACGTTTTGGTCAATGACTGATCACTTATATCACAGTGGTCCCATAAGATTATAATGTAGCTGAAAAATTCCTATCAACTGATGACCACCACAACATCATAATCCAATGTATTACTCACATGTTTGTGGCAGTGCTGGTATAAACAAACTTACAGCATTGCCAGTCATATAAACAATAGCACACACAATTATGTATAGTACACAATACTTGATAATGATAATAAATGACCATGGTACTGGTTAATGTATTTAATGTACTATAGTTGTTATCATTATTTTATAGTTCACTTCTTCTACTTATTAAAAAAAAATAACTGTAAAACATCCTCAGGCGGGTCCTTCAGGAACTATTCCAGAAGAAGCCTTTGTTATCATAGGAGAGGACAGCTCCATGCATGTTACTGCCCTAAAGACTTTCTAGTGGAACAAGAGTGAGGAGGAAGACAGTGATACTGATGATCCTGACCCTCCGTAGGCCGAGGTTAATGTGTGTGTTTGTGTCTGCTTTTAACAAAAAGGTGTAGAAGGTAAATAAATAAATAATTTAAAAGATAAAAATCTTACAGAATAAGGATAGAAAGAAAAAATA
This sequence comes from Homo sapiens, assembly GCF_000001405.40. Lineage (NCBI taxonomy): Eukaryota > Metazoa > Chordata > Mammalia > Primates > Hominidae > Homo > Homo sapiens. The sequence continues at coordinate 745,099 of NW_025791754.1, read as the reverse complement.
TTTTGTACATCTATACAAGGTGTGTTTTAAGCTAAAACAAAAGAGTTACAAGTTAAAAGATTTTCAGTTGATAAAGTAGAAAGCTTATCATAAATTAATTTATTATTGAAGAAAAGTTTTAAAAATAAATTTAGTCTATCCTGGGTGCACCAGAAGCTCAGTAATTAGCACTAAAGAACTTATCCATGTAACCAAAAACCACCTGCTCCCCCCAAAATATTGAAATAAATATATAAATAAAATAAATTTACCTAGCTCAAGTATTCAGTGTTCATGAAGTTTACAGTAGTGTATGGTAATGTGCTAAGCCTTCATATTTGCACACCACTCACTCAGTGACTTACCCAGAACAACTTTCAGTCCTGCAAACCCTATTGACGGTAAGAGCCCTATACAAGTCTGCCATTCTTAATATTTTATATTGTATTTTTATTGTACCTTTTATATGTTTAGGTAAACACATTCTTACATTTGTGCTACAGTTGCCCACAGTATTCAGTACAGTAACATGCTGTACAGGTTTGCAGTCTAGGAGTGACAGGCCGTATAGCTTAGTTAGGTAGTAGGCTATACAATCTAGGTTTGTGTAAGTACACTCTATGATGTTTGCAGGAGGACGAAATTGCCTATAGACACACTTCTCAGAACGTTTTCCTATCATTAAGTGATGTATGAGTGTACACACACACACACACACACACACACACACACACACACAGACAATTACCTATATATAAAACCTTGCAATTTATTTGCCTATTTACATTTTGCTTTTCTTTTAGGACACTCTAAGTAGTAGTGAGGGGTGGGTGGCGTTGTCATATTCTTTCCAGCTTCTTTGCTACAGCATGAAGCACAATATATTGCTTGATTCATGTTTTGCTACTGGAAGCATGCAGTTTTCTATTTGTACAAAAGTGTTGCTTTCGTCTGTTATTTCTGCTGTTTGGCCAGTTTCTAAATAGACACCAAAACAAAAGTGTAATGCACACTTACAGGTCATTTAACACCTAGACAACTTTTAATAGAATTTCACTAAAGTTTATCCTGGGACTGGACTGAAGCTTGAAAGTTTTGTGGGGTTAGGAATTGTCAAAATTCTACATATTATCCTCATAATTTTCACTTATCTTCCTCTGCTTCCACCCCCCTTTAGAAATCCTTGTGTAATGCCATTTGTAACAGATGTTTAAGCCACTTAATAAATATCATAAACACAGACTTAAGAAAAATCAAATACACTCATGCAATCGCACTCTTGTGATTATAGCTCAGTACTAAAAGTGAAAACAAAATAAAATGAATTTTAGGCCCATAGAAATAATGTTTTGCAACATTTGTAAGGGCATATCTTAAAAAGAAAGCATTTTATGGTTCATATTTTTCTCTTATGTCAGGACTGAGAAGAAAGTGTTCAAAAAATTTAAAGATCTGTAAACATTAGAAAGCAGTAAAGCAGTAAAATAAAAACTTTCTGGAAATCAAAGAGTATATAGCACAATGATTGAAACTTCACGTACACACATAGTTTAATCAGTATCCTAGACCTTGTTAGAGATTTTGTTTGCAATCCTTTTGATATAGTGGCTTTAATTTCCACATGAAATAAAATGGGATAGTTTATAATGTTATAAGAATCAGTTTATAGTATTAATAAAGAAGTGATATATTATTTCACTTTTGAAATTTGTGGAAGAGCTCAGAAGAAACAATTTTTTGGCAGTTCACTGGTTTATATATAAAAATAATATTTTCTATTGTTTCATTAAAATATATTTCCCTGTTGAATGGTAATTAGGCTGAAATGAGAATTCCTTCATTTTAATAACATTTAAAATGTAAATTATCAAATCTATGAAAATAAAATTCTCAAAACATAATGAAGGTGGCCAAATCTTTTGGGGTTGATTTTTCTAGTCAGTGGCATTGCAGAGTTTATGCAGAATTACACTAATATTTCACCTTATCATCTTTATTATAGCAGATTTTCTCTCCTTTGATTTCTCTTTACATTATCTATTTGGTGACCATTTACCCTTAGCAAACTAGAGAACGGAGAGAATTAATTTCATTCGATTTTCCTGCTAATTGCATGTTGGAAAATATTTCCAGAAAATAGATGAATATTGTGATACCCCTTCAAATTATCCTCAGCTATTTATTCATTTAAAAATATTTGTATGCATACACACACACAATCAATAAATACATTTGAAAAGGAACTAAAATATTCGGATCTGTTTTCAACTTACCTTCTCCCCCAACAGTGGATACCCATGAGATTAGGATTACACTGAATAAGAGCAACATGCTTGGTAGTCTCAATCGTGTATAACTAAAAATACTCCAGTGATGGTGGTGTTGCTTTAAATCTGCTTTCATTAACAGTTACAAGCATGACTTTGAATTTCAATGTACTAAGGGGAAGCTAGTTTAGTAAAGCCCTTTGTGGAAAACATCAAAGTTCATGGAGGGTTGTGTGAAATAAGCAAATAGTATCTAATCAGTGTCTTCACAATAATATTCTCAGCTCGTTATGTAATATTTATTTAAGCAAAGTAACTGCTGTTCAATTTCCTTGTTGTAGTCACCGAGTCTCTGAGTTTGGAACAATCAGAAATGGACTGTTTAGAGGAGAGAGGAAGCTCCCCACCGCTGGCCCCCTGGGTTTTTTTTTTTTTCTTGCCAAGGGTTCAGCTGTTTCAAAAGGCAAGCAAGTGCAAGTCATCAGTCCTCATCTTAATACAACAATATCACTTTTGTAGTTGTAAATTCCCTTTTAAAACTGGCACTAAGAATTAGGTACCTTCTTAACAGTTTTAATATTTCATAAACTATAAAAGGTCTAATCAAGAATTATTTTTGCTGGCCGGGCGCAATGGCTCAAGCCTGTAATCCCAGCACTTTGGGAGGCCGAGGCGGGTGGATCACAAGGTCAGGAGATCGAGACCATCCTGGCTAACACGGCGAAATCCGTCTCTACTGAAAAATACAAAAAAAATTTAGCCAGGCGTGGTGGTGGGCGCCTGTAGTCCCAGCTACTCGGGAGGCTGAGGCAGGAGAATGGCGTAAAACCGGGAGGCAGAGCTTGCCGTGAGTGGAGATCGCGCCACTGCACTCCAGCCTGGGCGACAGAGCGAGACTCTGTCTCAAAAAAAAAAAAAAAAAAAAAAGAATAATTTTTGCCAAGAAACGTTTCCTGAAATGTTTGAAGAACAGAATTATAATTCAAAATCATTTTGTTCAGGTGGGACTTCGAGAATGGCTATGTGAGGGTCTTGGTATATTCACTCCCAACCAAAAGGCAGCAATACAACTGGATAAAAATTTAAAAGTAACCATTGGTTGTCTCTGGAAATTGGCCAAACAGCATAATGTTGGGAAATATTTTTTCCAGAAAGTCTCCATAAAATTCAGTAAAAGAGAGCGGATGCTTTCATCCACCTCTGTCTCGCAGCCCAATTCCGTGGCTCAGAAGTTGAACCCTGGATGGGCAGGCAGGCTATGTGGACTGGAAGCTCTGCTCCCCTGCTGGAGAAGAGTGACTTTATAGCTTGGAAAGGTCCATGCCCGAGGATCCTATTGAATACAAAGAGATTACAGTGGGAAACAATCAGAGAAGACTAGAGGATACTAGCTGAAGCAAGCAACAAAGTGCCCAGCCTGAGAGAAATTTAACATTTAATGGGGAAATTTACAGAAACAGCCTAATGATCTCACTAAGAGGAAACTTACTTATGGTGGTTCAGAAGTCAATGGGAATGCACATAGCTATGTCCAATCAAGAAACCAGAGAAGTCCCTGTGAGCTATTAGTAGTCTCCACTATTGATTCTAGTCTATCTAAACCTTGTCATTTCCAATTACTACACTACCTAAAGTATCTAAATATTAAGCATCACACTCTAGACCATTTCAACAATCTTTTTAGCTCACTTACTCTACTAAATTTGTTCCAAACATTCAATGACCCTGACACTTTTTCACTATTCTCTTCCCTTCATTTTCTCTCTTCCCACCACATCTAAATTAGATTCCATGGCTCATCACTGTAAGTCAGTCCCTTGCACACACTCTCCTGCCCATTCGTTCCTTTCTATCTGTAATCCAAGTCTTAGAAAACCTCAATCCTTTGCAAATAAATTCTCTACCTGCCCTGTGCCTGAATTGAAGCAGCAGAGTGTGTCTACAAGAAAAACAAAGGCAACTGTGCTGACTTGCCTTGCTTTAAATTAATGAACACGGTCCTAAATAATTTCCACACTGCTTTTCCCCTCTCCTGTTTTCATTATCTCCCTCCTTAACCACCAATCCTCACTTTGTGCTTTGCTAATGACTTCATTTATTTTTTCATCTAGATATAGAATCAATCAGAAGAAAACTACCTGCTGTTCACACGCATCCTTTTCTGCATTGTCTCCTGCTTCACTGGATGTTGATCTTTACTCCTATCTTGTTATGGTCTCTACCAGATTTGATCCCATCTTTTCTGTGCAAGGATTTTGCTCTTTCAATTATTCCTTCTCACCTGTATCATTAATTTCTCCATTTTCCAAATTATTTCCACCAATATGCAAACATACCAAACATCTTTCATCATGAAGAGCAACAACAAAAGCTCAAAAATTGTTCATAGAACCCAAATCTCTTTCTAGTAATCTAATTCACTTCTCATTTTATAATACGATGACTCCAATGTTATCTACAATCTCTACTTTAATTCATTTTTTCATTCCCAACACTACGCTTAAACCCCTCTTGTAACAGTCACCAATGCCTTCTTCAATCTAATCAAATCCATTGGTCAAAACTGAATACTCAGAAAAATTTCATGACTTTCCCCTTCCATTTGGAAATACCTGCTTCACATGGTCTATGGAACACCACATTCTCCTGGTTTCTCTTCTGTCTCAAAGGCTTCACCATCTCAGTCTTTTGTTGGCTTCTTCTAATCTCTGTGACCTTTAAACATTGGTTTGTCTGAATCCAGGGGATGTTATTTATTTGTAAGCACAGAGTTAATTTTCACAGAGCTAGTGCCGATTTTTAGTTGAATTAACACTATCTTCTCTTGTCTATTTTTTTTGAAGCCCAGTACTCAACAATTATTCTCCTTTTTATTTGCTGAATATTTCTCCTAATTCAGAAACTTAGATTGCCCTTTTTTGTTTGTTTCTTGTTCTGAGTAATTTCAGGAGATTATGCCCTCCTGCAAACATTAGCAACAAATAAAAGGAGAAGGAAACTATACTTGATAAGAAATAAAAGGGCAGTTTAGAAAATAACTTTGTCTTCAATTTTGTGGCCAATTTTATTTTGAAAGATGCTCACTCCACTGTGTCTCATCTCACTTGTTCTTCTGCCATGTGATTTTGCCATGATCCTATCAAGATTTGGAATCACATTTCCCTCATTTTGAAAATCTGTACTTTTTAGTGGCATGCTTTTGTTGATACAATACAGTGGTAGTGACTCTGCTAGATATTAGAGAGTTATGGGTTTATATTTTGGAAGACTATCTCTCTGACACTATCTTGGAAGCCTTTTGCCATTTGGCAAGAAGTTCAATCTGTATGCAGAAGCCATATGTAAATCTTCTGGTTGATAGTCCCAGTTGGCCCAGGCAATAGCCCAGGTGTCATACAGGTGAGTGACATTTGCAGATTCCAAATCTCAGTTATTTGAGTCCTAACCCATTTAAATCTTTTCACCTGAGGCTCAAATATTGTGGAACAGTTATAAGTCATCACCTCAGTGCCCTGCGTCAATTCCTAACAGTATCTTTAAGTATAATAAAATGATTGCTGTTTTATGCCAATAAGTTTCTTACACAGCATTATAAATCTAGGAAACTGGGACCTCTTTTTTTTGTGGATTCCAGGTTTAGTGCAGGGAAAGTAAATTAAGTCTGAAACTGTTTGTTGTTACAAAAAATATGAAAGGGTTAAAAGGCAAATTATAGCATTCAAATACATATGAAACTGGCTTGTAGAAGTTATTACTGATAAAATTTGAGATAGATTTAAGTATCTCAAAGAAAAATTGCTGAAATTGGTTATAACTCTTGAATATTGAAAATTCTCTTCCCCAAAAGTGCTATAAAAGTAAAACATCCCAGCCTATATAATCCAAATAATTTTTGTTTTGAAATAATCTTAGATTCATATAATAAGTCATAAAAATAGTACAGAGAATGCCCATGTACCCTTTACCCAGTTTCCTCCAATAACTATAACTTCCTGCATCTCTTATATCTATAGTACAATAATTGAGACCAGGAAATTGACATTAGTGCTCTACTACTAACTCAGCTACCAACCTTACTGAATTTCATGGTCTCTCCCATGAACTTGCGTTTGTGTTTGTGTGGTATATTAATTTTGCAACATGTATGCACTCATGTAACCATCACCACAATCAGTCATATGTAGAACTACTCAGTCGTATACAGAACTATTCTATCACCTCCAGAAAACTCCCGTGTGCTGTCCTTTTATGGTCCCCACATTCCCCCACCCCTCATTGCTAGTCATCACTAGTATGTTCTACATAACTGTAATTTAGTCATTTTGAGTGTTATATAAATTGGATTATACAGTAAGTCAACTTTTTGATTTGGATATTTTTCACACAGGGTAATGTCCTTGAAATGTAGCCAAGCTGTTGTATTATAAGTAATTCATTTCTTTTAATTGCTGTGAAGTACTCCATTGTATGGATGTAACATGTTTGTTTATTCTTTCGCTCATCTGAGGACATTTGAGTTGCTTCTACTTTTTGGCTATTACACATAAAGCTATGATGGACAATTTTGTGCAATGTTTTACTTGAACAGCAAACTTGTTCTCGAAGGGTCATATGTTTAGTATTTTAAGGTTGTGAACCATATGGCCTCTGCCACAACTACCTAACTTTGTAGTTATAGAGCCAAAATAATGATAGACAATACATAAATAAAAAGGTGTGGCTCACATCCAATACATCTTTATTAAGAAAATAGATAGCTAGTTCCTAAGATATAGTTTGCCATCTCCTGCCCTATGGTAAACAGTCAGGGGTGAGATTACTGGGTTTTATGAAAAGTGCTATTGAACTCTATAAGAAATTGTCTGTTTTCCATAGTGGCTATGACATTTTACATTTCCACAAGCAATGTATGAGAGATCCATTGTATTGCATTTTCACTTGCACTTACTATTACCAATGTGTTTCATTTAATTTTTTTAAAGCATTTTATTAGATACATAGTAAATCTCATTGTGGTTTTAATGTGTATTCCCTAATGGTTAATGACATTGAATAACTTTTCACATGTTTATTTTCCATCTGAATATCTTTTTTGTTAGATCTGTTCAAGGCTTTGGCACCTTTATTGATTGGATTGTTTTACCTGTGTTTAGAGCATTCTTTATATATTCCATGTATAAGTCCTCTGTCAGATATGTTATTTGCAAATATTTTTTGCTAATAAGTAGCTTATCTTTTCACTCTCATAGAATGTCTTTCATGGATAAAAAGTGTTTAATGTTGATAAAGTATTATTATTATTTCACTCTTTTATGGGTCATCCTTTAGGTGTCCTGTTTAAGAACAATTCCATCAAACCCCAGGTCACAAAGATTTTCTCTTCCTCTACAAGTTTGATTGTTTTACATTATGCATTTAGATATAGGAACCATTTGGAGTTAGGTTTTGTAAAATATGTGAGATTAAATCAAAATTAATTTTTTGGCTAAGAAAGTGCTAGTCCCCAACACAATTTGTTGAAAAGAAACTTTTCTCAACCACATGCCACACATTCTCACTTCTAAGTATGAGCTCAATCATGAGAAAACATGAACACATAGAGGGGAACAACACACACTGGGGCCTAATGGACGGTGAAGGGTGGGAAGAGGGAAAGGAATAGGAAAAATAACTAATGGCTACCAGGCTGAATACCTGGGTGACAGAATACTCTGTAAAACTAACTCCCATGAAACAAGTTTACCTATGTAACAAACCTGCACAGGTAGCCCTGAACTAAAAAAAAAAAAAGGATCTTTTCTGTATTGAATTATTTGTGCATCTTTGTTAAAAGTTACTTGAGCATATTTGTGTGGGTCTATTTCTGGATTCTGTATCTGTTCTATTGATTTATGTCTATCCCTCCATCAATACTATATTGTTTCTAATATGGTAGCTATATTTTGAGGCCTCAAATTTGATTTTTGTGATCCTTTCAACTTTATTATTTTAAAAAAATGTTTCAGCCATTCTAACTCCTGTGCATTTTAATATAAATTTAGTATGGAATGATCTATATTTACAAAGAATTCTGTTGAAATTTTAATAAGTAATTATGTTAAGCCTATAGTACAATTTGAGAAAAATTTATTTATTTATCCTGTTGAGTATTCTAGCCCAAGAACATGGTATTGCTCTCTATTTAATTCTTCCTTGATTTTCCTAGGGAATACTTCTTTTCATATTGACAAAAATACATATTAGAAAATAGGTATCAACTATCAAGGCTTTTGTCCATTTTAGAAATAATACAAATATTTCTATGAATAGAAATATTATATTTATTTGTTTTTTCTCCCAAGAGAAATTTGTGGATATGCAGAAATAAAACAAGGACAATTATATGACCTTTTCTGGATTCTGTATCTGTTCTATTGATTTATGTCTATCCCTCCATCAATACTATACTGTTTTTAATATGGTAGCTATATTTTGAGGCCTCAAATTTGATTTGTGTGATCCTTTCAACTTTATTATTTTAAAAAAATGTTTCAGCCATTCTAACTCCTGTGCATTTTAATATAAATTTAGTATGAAATGATCTATATTTACAAAGAATTCTGTTGAAATTTTAATAAGTAATTATGTTAAGCCTATAGTACAATTTGAGAAAAATTTATTTATTTATCCTGTTGAGTATTCTAGCCCAAGAACATGGTATTGCTCTCTACTTAATTCTTCCTTGATTTTCCTAGGAAATACTTATTTTCATATTGACAAAAATACATATTAGAAAATAGGTATCAAGTATCAAGGCTTTTGTCCATTTTAGAAATAATTCAAATATTTCTATGAATAGAAATATTATATTTGGGGAATAGATAGTCCCCAAAGCTTTACGTCTTTCCTTCTCACTTGATTTTCATAAAATGCTCCCAAATAATATAAGGGCTACATCTGTCATCTCTTCAGGCTCTTTTAGACCTTGCCCCTGTCAAGACACAGATCCCTTTTGAGGCATCCCTCTCTACTCACCGAATGATTTATGCAGATAATGATCAGGGCATTTACTTACTAAGACACTTCACTGTTGATACCCATTCTTTCTCTGTGCATGTTACGTGAGTCTATAGGGGATTTGAAGGAGATACAAAGCTATATTCACAGGAGTAATAGAACAGTTTTTTTTTCTTGTGAACTGGTAAAGTTGGTTTATATTTATCTTGGTCATATAATTGTCCTTGTTTTATTTCTGCATATCTACAAATTTCTCTTGGGAGAAAAAAACAAATAAATATCCTGAATTAAAGAATATACAGCTTATATTTCAATGATGTCATTGATGCATTTTATTCATTTAACTCATTACCACTTGTCGTTAGTGATTAAGAAACAGAGAACTATATGTAACCCAGAATGCAAAAGTATTTAATAACATCATTGTTAAAGAAGACACTATAACATTTTTGGAGTCAAATCAAGTGTAAACTCTTTTGAAGTGTCTCCAAGAAGATAACAATACAGAACAACACAAAAATCAAGGTAGAGGATCTGAGTAGCTTTATACTGCAGTCCTCTCATGCCTAAGATTTACGTAGGTTGGGATAAGAGTACAGATTTTAAATCTCTATTCAATTCCGTTCTCCTTTCTTTTCTTTGCCTGTCATGAAATCTTTTAGCAGAAAGCTGAGCCGTGTCTGCCCCTGCTAGTTCAGCTAAGATACTGCCTGGGTAAGTTTTTTATACTATCATTTTTCTGACTGTAAACATAATGTACTTTCAGTGAAGAAAATTTAGAATGAACAAAGAATCATAAAACAAGGAAGCAAAAGCTCACCCCAAATAAAAAATCCGAGATATAATTACAACTGGATTATGATGAATAGAAAATAGGTATGTACATGTGTATACATTTGTATATATTGTGATGGCAAAATATGAAAATAATTTAGAATTGGCATTGTCTCTAGAAAAATAGATCTGTGTGGATATAACACATCATATAAGCAACATATAAATAAATATTAATATATAAATAAAAATGTAATATATGGTAAAGAACTATAAATAATTTGTATGTCAACACATAGTTTATGTACATTACTCCACAATTAATGTTTATCACAGTTTTAAGATATCATTTGATAGGATGAAAATTTTTTTCAACAAGTTTCCTAATAAAAAGACCAAATCTGAAATATTTACTTAAGTAAAGAGAAAAACCAATCTTCAAAGACCTGAAGCTAAATCCTATTAAACTTTTAATTAGGCCAGTTGCAGTGGCTCACACCTGTAATCTCAATACTTTGGGAGGCCGAAGTGGGCAGAATACTTGAGGCCAGGAGTCTGAGACCAGCTTGGTTAACATGGCGAGTCCCTGTCTCTACTAAAAATATAAAAAAATTAGCCGGGACTGGTAGCGCACTCCTGTAATCCCATCTACTTAGGATGCTGAGGCACGAGAATCTCTTGGACCCGGGAGGTGGAGGCTGCAGTGAACCAAGACCGTGCCGCTGCACTCCAGCCTGGGCAACAGAATGAGGCCCTGTCTAAAAGAAAAAACCTTCAGAAACTTTTAATTAATTAATTTATGCACATATTAAGTACAAACATTAAATTATTTCTAAAATTCTATATAATGTTACTAACTACAACACATTTTATTTTCATCTTTTTTGTTTGTTTTGTGTTCTCTGTTTTTGGTGCCCATTGTGTTTCATCAGTTAATAAGGTTTTTTTTGTTTTGTTTTTTGTTTTTTGTTTTTTTTGAGGCAGAGTCTTGTTCTGTTGCCCAAGCTGAAGTGCAGTAGTGGTGTGATTTTGGCTCACTGCAGCCTCTGCCTCCAAGGTTCAAGTGATTCTCCTGCCTCAGCCTCCTGAGTAGCTGGGACTACAGGCACGCACCACCATGCCCAGCTAATTTTTGTATTTTTAGTAGAGACACGGCTTCACCATGTTGGCCAGGATGGTCTTGATCTCCTGACCTCATGATCTGCCTGCCTCAGCCTCCCCAAGTGCTGGGTTTGACTTGAGCCACCGCAGTACAGACTTGTACTTGTACTTGAGCCACCTCAAGTACAGACTTGAGCCATCGCAGGTGATAAGTTTTAATGGATAATTATTTGACTTTTAATCTCCTAACTGAGCAAAGAAATGAGAACAGGTTGTGATGTCCTACTCCCACTATTTTCCTCCAGGGATCACGTAAGATGATCATGCAAGAGTTTACTTAATACATAGCCTTCTCCCTTGCTGAGAGCTCCAGGGTTCTCCAGCTGTACTCCATAAAGTCCCTGCCATACATCCCATCTTTACTTACAGAACATATTCTTCCTACCGACGCTCAGGACCAAACCATTTTAGAAATATGTCTTATAGCAGAACTGTGCAAGTTAACTAAAAATGCTCTCAGATGTTTTATATCACGTTTTGTGCCCTGAAACTAATTTACAAATGGTTGCTAATGGAAAACACCTTCATTACCTTCTTCAGCCTTTTTTCAACTCAATCAGGATAACTTTTTGTTTCCAAAACAGTCCAGCTTTACGCTTTCTCCTTTCTTTGTCTCTCAATCACTTTCAATAGTTTTCTATTTTCTTGAATATTTGTGGATAGTTTTAAAAATCATTTAAGAACTGTATAGAAGATTTTACATTTCATATTATATTTGAAATCATTAATATTATTTTGATTATTTTAATGTATGCTTACTTATAACTTCTATAATATAATTTATTATCTTTTTGGATAGTGAAACTTCTCTCAGTTTTTCTTGTTGTAATGGAGTTGCAGGAAAATTAATTGTACATGATATTTTAAAAATTTATTACATAAATTTTAAGTAGTAAAAAGGAAATGACAAAATATTAGTGCATTTTTAGGGTTCTGGCTAAACCTCAGCATTTTGTTTATAAATCCATACGTATCTGTTTATGCTGACTCAAACTATGTATATGTAAACTGATTTTACCATAACTGTATAGGCTTAAATATTTAATCTTACTAATTTTATAATTAAACATTCTACTGTTCTTTTCAAAATTACTTAAATTAATTTGAACACTTTCCATTTACTTGTTGACTATTGTGCTTTAACTGTGTGAATTATTTATGCTTGTACTTTTCTACTGGAACATCATTGCTTTTCTCAATAATTGAATCAGTTTTTAACGTTATAATTTTTCTATCATACATGATTTGCATGAAATTTTCAGATAATTTTTTCTTGAATTTGATGTTTATTTGGGCTACAAAGCCCATTTTTGTATTCTCAAATATTTTAGTATTTCACCTTTGTGAAGTAACAAACCTGATACTTTAAGTATTTCTTATGTGTTGATAAATGTGAAATTCATTTCATATGGCTATTGTACTAGATATTACAAAAATTAAACACAGTAGAAACTGATGTCTGAAATAGCTCTTCTACCTGAACATTATATATTGTTAACTCCCGACTGTAATCCAGGATCCACACTCATGAAACCATGGTCCGTCTGTCTATGCATCTCACTTGCTTAAAATCCATCAGTGGCTCGCTGATCACTCTCTGAGTAAAGTTCAGTCTCCTTGTCAGGTCTATAAAATCTTTTCTGATTCCTCCCTACCTCACATCACCCATCACAATGAATTTTCTGAGTTCTAGTCATGCTGATTTTTTGAAGCTTCGCAGTTATGCTTTTTCTTTTTCTTGTTGGTCTTTCACATTCTGTTTCTCCTAAGTGTTGATTTTGTCCATGTCTACCTACCAAAGTTATATTCAAGTTTGAATCTCACATGAAATGTCATTTCCTTTCAGATCTATTTCCTGGCCTCCAAGAAAGTGTTTATTTCTTCTCTACATTAGTATAGTGTCTTCCATCCTTTACTATTAATGTGCTTATTATATTGCTATAATTTTTATATGTCTACCCTGTGGGGTTTTGTATCTGCTGTATCTATAAGCTCCTTCATCTCACTGCTGCTTACCTGTGTGATCAATGTGCTGGAGAAAAGATTTTTGTTACACAGACTGATACAAAATGAAGAAGCAGGTTTCTACTAATCATGCTTTATTTTTCCTTTGAGTAATATTAATGATAATAACAGCTTCATTGATTTACTGCATACTTACTATATGGTTATAGATATTGTTGAATACCCACTACACTGAAAACTATTTACATACATTTATGAATTAAAATCTGATTTCAAAGATGTTATCTCCATTTTGCAGATGAAACTCAGAGATAGGGACATGCTTCCTATACCTATACATTATTTAATCAGTGAAGCAGTATTTAATGAAAGACATAGACATTTATTGAGATAGTTTTCACGTAGAAGTATTTTATTTGCTTTTATATATATTAAGTTGTTTAGTCTTACCAGGTGGTAAGAATGTTGGTGTTGGATTGCTGAAGAAATTCACAGGACTCAAGCAGCTTATACTCAAAAAAGGGCTGTATCACAGGCAAAGGGCACAGCAACAGTAGGAGAGGGTTGTTTGTTGAGGGATCCATCCATGGAACTCACACACAGACTTCTTTGTCCTACCACCACTGGGTCATACAGGATGCATTTTATCTCCAGATACAAACCACATCAGCATGTGTGTGTGTGAAACCTGAATTTCCTTTGTTTCACTGAAGCATATGCTGTACATCACTCCAGTAACGATGTTGCTCAAGCCTGCTGCCTCCCAGATCCGTGGCATTTTGCTCTAGAAATGGTAGGGTCTTAGAGAGACAATTTATTTCACTCTTACAGGTGTCTGAATAAAAGGTAAGAGAGAAAATTATTTTCTTGCTCTAAGGCTGTCGTAAACAAAGCTATGTTTGATTTTCCCTTTTAATAGTTACATAACTATTCCCTTTTAATAGTTAATACATAACTATTCCCTTTTAATAACTATTCCCTTTTAATAGTATATTTGTGAGATATCTTATTTAGGTAATTATGCCACTTTCTTTTTATCTATCACTTATTTTAACCCAAACTTTCCTCTCCAAAAAGAAACATCAGGCTTGACCATCGAGCTAATCCATTCACTGGAAATAAGAATCGTGCCAGTGCCTCTCTCATGATTTATTTTCATTCATATGGGGTAGGATTAGAAATGTACACACTTACTGGCCTGCTACTTCTACTTGGTAACAAAGCATTTGTACCTGAAGGCCCAGTTAGGCCAGGTGAGAGGACGGGACATTCTAGCTTCTGTGGTTTCTGTTGCAACTACTCTGTTGTACCCTGATAGTGTGAAAACAGCCATGGGGAATATGTAAACTAGTGAACATGGTTGTGTTCCAATAAAACTTTATGGACACAAATGTGAATTTCATATAAATTTTATGAATATAATTTTAATTATAAAAATGTTATTCTTATTTTAAATTTAAAAAGATGTCAAAATATAAAATCTATTGTAGTCAGAGCCCTACAAAAATAGGCAGCAGGCCACAGTTCCCCATGACTGTCATTTGCCAGTCCTCCATCTGGTCCAGCAACCCCTTCTGAATTCAGTTAAATTAAAAACTATAGACAGTAACTCCTGTTTAAATATGAGTGATGCTTCAAGATCTGTTCATTTTAAACTGGACTCAGAAATTATAGCGTAAGGCAGAAAAGAAGAAAATTGTGATGTGTTTGGAAAGACTTGTAGATACGTGCTGGTTTCATCCCCAAATCGTTGTTTCCTCTACCTCTGTATCTAGGAAATTTATCTAATAGTAAGCCATCTTTGATTTATCTCATGTTTACCTTTTTATTTTTATGTTTTACTTTTGTTTTAGATTCAGGAGTATATGTGCGGGTTTGCTACGTAGGTAAATTGCATGTCATGGGGGGGTTTGATGTACAAATTATTTTGTCACCCAGGTAATAAGCATAGCACCTGAAAGATGGTTTTTCTGTCTTCACCCTCCCATCCTCCACCCTCAAGAAGGCCCCAATATTTGTTGTTCTCTTCTTTGTGTCCATATGTATTTGATGTTTAGCTTCCACTTATAAGTGAGAACATGGGGTTTTGGGTTTTCTGTTCCTGTGTTAGTTTGCTTAGATAATGGCCTCCAGCTCCATCCATGTTCCTTCAAAGGACAAAATCTCATTCTTTTTTGTGGCTACATAGTATTCCATGGTGTATGTGTACCACATTTTTAAAATCCAGTCTACCATTGATGGGCATTTAGATTGAATCTCTGTACAGACCAATGGTGAATTCCAAAAATGAATCAGTAATAAAATCCTACCAACCAGAAAAAGCCCAGCACCAGCCAGGTTCTCAGCTGAATTCTACTAGATATGTAAGGAAGAGCAGGTACCATTCCTACTGAAACCATTCCAAAAAATTGAGGAGGAGGGACTCCTTGCTAATTCATTTTATGAGACCAGCATCATCCTGATACCAAAACCTAGCAGAGATACAACAAAAAAGAAAACTGCAGGCCAGTATCCTGATGAATATAGACACAAAAATCCTAAAAAACAAAACAAAACAAAACAAAACAATCACGATGTATCCAGCAGCACATCAAAAAGCTAATACACTGCAATCAAGTAGGCTTTATCCATGGGATGCAATGTTGGTTCAACATACGTAAATCAATAAATGTTATTCACCACATAAACAGAACAAATGACAAAAACCACATGATCGTCTCATGCTTAATTTTAATGCACAACTTAGTAAATGAGCCTTTTCGTCCTTTATCACTGCACTACCCTGACTTTAGTTTTTTTAAGCAGATATTTCAATTAATGATTCCAAATATTTCCACTACTCTGCAGATGATAAAGGATACTATATGTTCATTTGATGTGGTGTTTCTTTGACCACTGTTGTATACCATGTGCTGTAATATAGTATCCTTCATCAGAAGAATGTAACTTGCTAGGCAAAAATAGTTTCAATTCTTTTTTTTTTTTTTTTTTTTGAGACGGATTCTTGCTCTTTCGCCCAGGCTGCAGTGCAGTGGCGTAATCTCGGCTCACTACAAGCTCTGCCTCCGGGGTTCTCGCCATTCTCCTGCCTCAGCCTCCCGAGTAGCGGAGACTACAGGCACCAGCCAGCATGCCCAACTAATTTTTTGTTTTTGTATTTTTAGTAGAGACGGGGTTTTTACCGTGTTAGCCAGGATGGTGACGATCTCCTGACCTCATGATCCGTCTGCCTCCGCCTTCCAAAGTGCTGGGATTACAGGCGTGAGCCATCGCGCCCGGCTAATAATTTCAATTCTTTAATTGTCATGTATTAGATTTAACTTCCATGAAAAAACCAAGTGTCAATGGCCTTCAAATCTTGCTTAATCTTCCTGTTGTTAAAAACAAACAATATGGTGAAAACCCGTCTCCACTAAAAATACAAAAATTGGCCGGATTTGGTGGCGCGAGCTTGTAGTCCCAGCTACTTGGGAGGCTGAGGCAGAATAATCGCTTGAACCCGGGAGGCAGAGATTGCAGTGAGCTGAGATCATGCCACTGCACTCCAGCCAAGGCGACAGAGCAAGACTCCGTCTCAAAAAACAAACAAACAAACAAACAAAAACAAAAAACAACCACGTAATAAAATCTATTTATTAGCTCTATGCTGGTCCATCATTCCTGTGGATATGTCCCAATGCATTTTTTAATCTTACATCTCTTACTAAGAAACTGGGCAATTATGATTAACAATTTGTGCCTTTTCTGGTGCTGGTGTTGGTTTGGGTCCTTCTGTGACCATTCATTTCATGTACCTAAGTAGCCACTTCTAGGTAAAGACCCAAAATATCTATTTGTTGACTCCAATTCCTTTCCAGTCCTGGTGGAGTTTTTATTTTGGTAGGTATCTACATGTCCCAATTTGAATTCCCATAAAGGTAGTGTATCAGGCAAGAAGTATTTGAATCAACTGCTTTCCTATGAATTAATCCCTGACAGTGGATTGGTATCAACCCATGTGATTGCGTTTTTTATGTACTCAAAATCTAAAATCTTCCATAATAGCTAGGAATAGAGATTAAAGTTTAGCCCACTGGGCTGGTTTAGTCTTATATTTTCCCATGAGGATCTGCCACAACTTTCCGGGTAGAGAAGTGACCATTCTTTTATGAATGGCCATCAGAGAGATAGGCTGATCATTTAGCCTCCTGCAGCAGATGGTCTAGTGAAAGATCCCTTGTTTAAATTCTTACTTCTATAGCCTAAGACAGAGCCTCAACAGTCTCTGCAGTGAGTCCCAGAAGAAGAGAAGCTATTTACTTATGAATATGACCAGGGCTGCTACTGTACCCTCTTGTAGAATTTTCTTTCGTATACAATGCTTATTTAATGATGGAACTACTTTGTGCATTCTCTCCTCTTTTGGTATGTTTTTCAGATAAAACCATTTGGACACTTCAAAAATTAAAATAATTTTATACCCTTAAGTTATTAGAGGAATTTTAATTAATGCCCTATACCATCTCAAATGGCAGGTAATTTGTGTCTGCTTTTTTTCCCTTCGTTATTCTTGCTAAAAATAAATTTATTATTCTTCTGAAAGAATTAGCATTGGTTCATTTCATTTGTTCTTTGAGAAGATTACTAAAATAGATTTTTTTCTAAATTGAATTTGCTTCATTGATTTCTGCACTAATATTAATTGTTTCCTGCTTTCTTATATTGTAAGCTTAGTTTAGTGTTTTGAGATGTTAATTCTTTTCTAATACACCATTTAATGACATCTCACAATTCTATGGGACAGTAATTTTGGTGGGATTCAGACGGATAATTCTTTTGTTTTTTGGGGCATTAATAAAGACATTCAATGTTATTTATCTGGCACATATTCTGGAATTGAGGGTTTAATATGTCTTCAGTCATATATTTGGTGCTTTGCCAACAATGGGTGAAATTTGGGGTTCGGGTGACTCCTGTCACTCTCAGGGCCTCTCTACAGGGTAGTAAGAATTCTCGCATACTGGTTAGAAGCTACGAGAGACCAAGCTGCTATTTTTTTAAAAGCTTTTATCCATAATTGACGTAGAGATACTTATACTGTATCCTATTAGTCAAAGCAGTCATGGGTTAGCACAAGTTCAAGATGATGGGGAAATAGGTCACTAAATCAGAGGATTTTCAAATTATTTGTGGACATCTTTGATCTGTATAATGTAACTATGCTGCATTACATGCTAATATTTTAATTATCTCCACTCTGAGGTACATACGTGTCATAAAAATGATTGTAATTAAGAATATACTCCATTATGATTACTTATCTAGTTCGTCTTTGTTGGTGACGTCAAATATAACCAAGTCTTAACTATTTTAGAAATCATATTTAAATTTAAGTTTTCAAAGTCAAATTGTATTTCTGATGAAATAGTAATGTTTTATTTCTTTACCTACGTAGTGCTCACCCATGTTTTTGGGTTTTCTGCATGTTTCTTTAAGAAAAGGTTTAAAAACAAGTCTGATGTTTTCTCTAATTTCATAGAAGACTGATAATGTGACCCTTGTTAAAATTCTTGCAAGAGAAACTTGTACACCAGATCCAAGATAAATAAGAATCTGGGTTAAGGTGCTCAAATCATGCTTTTTAGGTTGTTCATCTAAAATAAGTATAATAAAAACTGGATTTCATAAGATGCAGCTGAGGGAGCTCATCGACTCATAAAGTACAAGAGATGGAGGAACTTAAGAGATGACAGACACTCATCAACTATTGTCTCTCTTAGCCACGTGCATTCTGAGGACAGATTTGGACAGTCAGAAGCCACACGTGGGAGTTACAATTCTCACTATGCTCTTGACATTATTGCTGTTTAAAATAACTTTTAAAAGTGGATGTAATGATAGGTAAAAGTGTGAATTGTTAGTTCTGAAAGCAAGATCACTGCTGTTAGCTGTGATCACTGCAGTGTAGGAGTTGCAGAGTGGTATCAGAAATGGACACTCAGCTTCCCACCCTCTTCATGAAATGGTAAAGGCACCATGAAATTAAAAAAAGGGTAGGATGGAGGGTCTGACAAACTTCTATTGCCAGGGTGTTACCAATCCACTTTTTCTTTGAAGGGAAAATCCTCTGAGGAAGATTATCTGGGATGAATAGTAGGAGTGGAGTTTGGATTATATGACTTTGACTCCAGAATTTGTGAAAAAATGTATTTAGAATAAGATACAATATGATGGAGAAATTAGTAGACATACAATTTCTTGGTTGCTGCTAACAAGTTTGGTGAAATTAAAACATCTCATGGTGGAAAGTAAAGAAAATGAACAATTTAACCCAGCAATATTGAGAGAAATATTTGAACGAAAAATGTGTGTCAAAGGTTCTGATGGAGATTTGGGAAGATACAGTTTAAATCATGGCACTCCTTCGCTCTGACCCTTCATCAACAGATCCTACCTTCCAAGCGCCAGGTTTTAGAGATCAGATGACCATAAATATTAGAGAAATAACATTAAATATGTGGTCTGTTTTGCAAAACAGAAAAATATTGGTGCCTGCCAGGTTAATTTTAACCCCAGATTCTTTAAAATAAATGATTTGTAATTTGATGGTGAATTCAATTACCAGCTTATAGTCAGACTTTGGAAAAGTTCTCTCTTCACCAGGTCTTAGTTATTCTTGTTAAATGAGAATTTTATAATTGATTAAACTAACCTCTCTAGTGAATATTAAGTGATACAAATCCTAGGAAGATAGTGACAGATTTTAATTGGTTAAAAAAATTAAGTGGTAAGATGATGTATTAGTGTTTCCCAGAGAAACAGAATGTACAGTGTGAGATGTATGTAGATAGATGAGATAGAGAGAGATATTTTTATGCTATTGGTTTACTTAATTTGTGGGTATATGCAAGTCCAAAATTCATAGGCTAATGGAGTAGAAGCTCAGACAAGGGTTGATGTTACAGTCTTGAGGTAGAACTTCTTCTTTGGGAAGCCTAAGTTTTGACTCTAACTGCTTCAATTGACTGAATGTGACCCACCCACATTATCAAGGGTAATCTTTACTTAAAGTCAACTTATTGTAGATGTTATTAACTCCATCTATAAAATACCTTCTTCACAGCAACACTTAGATTAACATTTGATTAAATAACTAGGCTTGATAGCTTAGCCAAGTTGACACATAAAACTAGCCATTGCAGTTGCTAATTCTCACCAAAACACAAATTATTTTGATTATTTATGTGGATATACATAGTTACAAGCTCTGAAAGAAGGCAAACATGAGCTCCCAGGCTGTGACTGTTAGGAATTGACATTTCAAGATACCTGGGGTAACGTCTAGATATAATTCCTTCAGTTACCAGTAATATACTATGAAGTACCAAATAGCTGGAAGGAGAATATTTAATGCTCCTAACCCAAAGAAATGAAAAATGTTTGAGATAATGGATA
Organism: Homo sapiens; assembly: GCF_000001405.40. Taxonomy (NCBI): domain Eukaryota; kingdom Metazoa; phylum Chordata; class Mammalia; order Primates; family Hominidae; genus Homo; species Homo sapiens. Next base: position 724,523 of record NW_025791754.1, on the reverse strand, counting down.
TACTAATTACCCTAACTGACCATTATACATTATATATATGGAAACATTACTATGTACTCCATGAATATATACAGTTATTGTCAATTTTTTTAAAAAGAAAAAAAAAGACAATTCCTAGGTTGTTACTTAGATTTGGTGAAGATAGTCCTCACCATTGTGACACATCTCAGATTGTAATTGCATTTTCACAAATCAACACAAAACTTTATTTATGAATAAAAATGAGTAAAACAGTACTTGAAAAATGAAATTGAAAACAAATATAATAGTAAATTCAGAAAAAGGTGTGCATTTTACTAATAGTAATGCCATTGATTCTATTTTTCTTCACAACTGGGATATACCAGTTTCCCATTCTGACACATTGCTCGAAATGAATGAGATTTTGTTGGATGATATCCAGATTTACAAACAAATTCAACTATGTCACCTGTTCTTGAATAAAGCTTTTGTTGGTTTGTCCACTTTAATTTTATGTTATATTTTTCCATAATTTCTTGTGATATTACACATGGATCTGAAAGTAGAAAAAAATGAACATAAAACATTAAGTAGTATGCAAATCTTCATAGACTCAGGTTTTCAAGTAGAATGTTATATGATGGTTGAGGAATTACTTCTCAAAATCCTTTCCAAACTAATGCTGTAAAAACAAAATATAGATTTAAGTAAATTTAAAATGGTAAATGATGTAAAAATGAGGTACTATGTTTAATGGATGATAATTAGATGTTATTACTGAAGATTCATAACATCAATTGTCATATTAAGATAGTTGCATTTTAGAACCTATCATTGCTGTTTTTGTTTGATTATGATATTGGTGAAAGAATCCAAACTTTCAGTAATAAGATGAACAAGAACTGGGAATCAAATAGAGAAATGTAATGACATTAATAGCTAATAATATGGTATTATTTACTTGAAATTTGAAAAGAGAGCAGATTTTAAGAGTCCTCATCTCTCTCTCTCTCTCTCTCTCACACACACACACACACACACACTTACACACAATGGTAACCATAGGTGGTGATGAATGTGTTAATTAATTTATAGTAATCATTGCTTTATAAATATATCAAATCAACATGTTGTAGAACATAAATATGTATTCTTTTTATTTATCAACTAAATGTTTTTAAATAAAATATAAATATAAAGAGAAAAATTTCTAAACTTTACATTCTATCATATAGACATTTGGTAGGCAAGCATTCAGCAGAATGCTTGTTTGTTAATCTGTGAAAATTCTATTACAAACAGTGAAATATCAGACTCATCACACTGATTTTTCCAGAATCCATGAGAATATTAAAGTACTTACCTAAGCATTTTGGTGGTTCTGACCATTGTCCGTTTCTACATGTTATTTGATTGTTACCCTCAAGTTGATACAAGTTCTGGCACTGGTACTCAACTGATGAACCTGGAGCATATACTGACAACAGGAATGAAGTAATGTCTCCATTGTCAATAGGTGGAGGGGGCCCACATTTTTCTGCAGAAACTAAAAAAACATCATTTGATTTACTGGGAGAGTAAATAAAAATACAAGTTCAAATAAGGCAAATGCAAACAAGGCACTTTATAGTCTATCAGGGCTTTTGTGATTTGTGCTGAATGAAATGATTCCCGGAGTAAAATTTATCCTACAAACTGAAAGTTAAATTTTCAGTTCTTTTCTCCTCACTGAATGAACACATACAGCATTAACAAAGATGACACTTTGTAGTATTCCAGGATTAAGAAATGTTTTTCTAAATGAATACATGCTAAACAGATAGAAAGCTATGACAAAACACAGAAAGTTTCTTATTTTAAATTCAACATTCTTTGGAGTTTATTGGGTCTGTAGTCATTTCATTCTTTATTTTCATTTGCCTTACAAAAGAAACATTAACTCCTGGAAAAATTTAAAGAATACAAATTAATAGAAACTAAAAGGGAATTGCTGGATTCTTGGTATTGGCAAAATGAGGAACAAACTTTTCTACCTTTTCCTTATGCTAAGTACAACTCAAATTTTGAACACAAAGTAAAAAAAAAAAAAAAAGGAAAAGAACATAAAAAGACTCTGAAAGATGTAGAGAATTTGAAGTTGCTGGAGACTTCAGGACTCAAGGAATGACACAGCAGGGTGTCATGTGGGTTTTCTTTTGGACTCCTTTGTATCCTGGATAGGACACTGGAGAAGACTGCAACCCAGTATTGATATGAGGTTCAGACAGAAAAAGAAAATCCCCAGAAGAGCCTACTTTCTATACCCAAAAGCCCAGGAAAAGAGCAGCCTTACAAGACAAAAATCATTTTTAACAATAACTTACATACTGTAGGAAAGATCCTAAGAAGCCAATGACCACCCTCCACACTTCTAGATAAACAGAGGTCAACTGAGGAACCTAGACTTCTACCCACATGGTCAAGTAACAAGACACCGCTCCCTTTTCCCATGATTGATGTCAGCAGAAGCCAAATGGGAAACCTGGGCTTATACCCACCATGGCAGCAATGGAACCTGCCAAATAAGATTTTTGCAATCGAGTACTCAAAATATAACACCTAAAATATCTAGAATAAATTTAAAAATTACTCTTCATATTAAGGACCAGGAAACTCTCAAAAGGGAAAAGACAATTATTAATAACAAAAGACAACACTAAGAAGACACAGATGTTGAAATTGATGATGCTTTAAAAAATCCAATAGGAATTATAAACCCAAATAGTAAAACAATAATTAAAAAAATCCTCTGGATAGGCTTAATAACACACTGGGAGATGACAGATGAATAAATTCATGAACTTCAATACAGAGCAATATTAATTACCCAGTCTGAAAATAGACTGAAAACAGAAAGCTGAACTGAGCTTAGAGAACTTTAGAATAAGACAAACAACAACAAATAAGGAGAGGCAATCCAGAAAGAGAAGAGAAAAAGTATTGAGCTGAAAACAAAAAAATGACTGAACACTTCCCAGACTGACCATAAGGCATAAACTAATAGTGACATGTAGAACTAACGAATACTATACAATATTTTTCTCATAACTTGAAAAAATATACATCTATTTTGACTTAATTACATTAAACTATTCCAAATCTATCAAAAATACAAGAAGGGAATGATATCAGAAGACTGAGGAGATATTGGTAGCTGGAGCACTTGAGATTGCTCTGTTTTGCATTCACATCATTTATTGCACATACTTGCCACCTGATATAGTTAGGCTTTGTGTCTCCACTCACACCATTCACATCTTATCTTGAATTGTAATCCCCAGATATTGAGGCAGAGACCTGGTGGGGGGTGGTTGGATCATGGGGATGGCTTCCCCCATGCTGTTCTCATGATAGTGAGTGAGTTCACATGAGATCTGATGGTTTTATAAGTGTTTGGAAGTTCCTCCTTCATCCACTTGTCTCTCTCCTGCTGCCTTGTGAAGAAGTGCCTGCCCCCGCTTCTGCCATTATTGTAAGTTTTCTGAAGCCACAGCCATGTGGAACTGTGAGTCAATTAAACCTATTTTATTTATTTATTATTATTATTTTTTTGAGACAGAGTCTCGCTCTGTCACCCAGACTGCAGTACAGTGGCACTATCTCGGCTCACTGCAGCCTCTGCTTCCCCAGCTCAAGTGATTCTCCTGCCTCAGCCTCCCAAATAGCCGAGATTACAGGAGTCACCACCATGCCCAGCTAATTTTTATATTTTATCAAAGACAGAGTTTCACGATGTGGGTCAGGCTAGTCCCAAATTCCTGACCTCAAGTGATTCACCTGCCCCTGTCTCCCAAAGTGCTAGGATTACAGGTGTGAGCCACCATGTCTGGCCAAACCTATTTTACTGATATATTACCCAGGTTGGAGAAGTTCTTTATAGCAGTGTGACAGTGGACTAATACAGTAGATTGGTACAGGGGGCACTGCTATAAAGATACCTGAAAATGTGGAAGTGACTTTGGAACTGGGTAACAGGCAGAGGTTGGAACAGCTTAGGGGGCTCAGAAGAAGATAGGAAGATGAGGGAAAGTTTGGAACCCCCTTGAGACTTGTTCAATGGTTTTGACCAAAATGCTTATAGAGATATGGACAATGAAGTCCAGGCTGAAGCGGTCTTAGATGGAGATGAGAAACTTATTAGGAACTGGAGCAAAGGTCACTCTTGCTATGCTGTAGCAAAGAGACTAGTGTCAATTTGCCCCTGCCCTGAAGATGTGTGGAACTTTGAAGTTGAGAGAGATGATTTAGGGTAACTGGAGTAGGAAATTTCTAAGCAGCAAAATGTTCAAGAGTGACAGAGTATAAAAGTTTGCAAAATTTGCTGCCTGACCATGTGGTAGAAGAGAAAACTCATATTCTGGGGAGTAATTCAATCCTGCTGCAGAAATTTGCATAAGTTACAAGAAGCCAAATGTTAATAGCCTAAGACAATGGGGAAAATGACTCCAGGACATGTCAGAGATCTTTGAGGCTTTCCCAATCACAGGCCCAAAGGCCTAGCAGGGAAAAATATTTTCATGGGCCTGGGCCCTGCTGCTGTGTGCAGCCTCACGACCTGGTACCCTGCTGAGTCCTAGCTGCTCCAGCTCCAGCCGTGGCTAAATGGGGCCAACATATAGCTCAGGTCATTTTTTCAGAAGGTGCAAACCTCGAACTTTGGCAGCTTCCACATGGTGTTGTGCCTGTGGGTGCACAGAAGACAAGATTTGAGGTTTTTTTTTGGTTCCAGGTGGGAACCTCTTCCTGGATTTCTGAGGTTGTATGGAAACTTCTGCATGTTCAGGCAGAAGTCTGCAGGGGTGGAGTCTGCAGGTTCATGGAGAACCTCTGCTAGGGCAGAGTGGAAGGGAAATGTAGGGTTGGAACCCCCACACAGAGTCACCACTGAGGCACTGCCTAGTGGAGCTATGAGTAGGGGGCTACTCTCCTCCAGACCACAGAATGGTAGATACACCAACAGCTTGTACTATGCACCTGGAAAGGCTGCAGGCACTCAATGCTAGCCCATGAGAGCAGCCCTGGGGGCTGAACCCTGCAAAGCCACAGAAGTGGAGCTACCCAAGGCCTTGGAAGCCTACCCCTTGCATCAGTGTGTCCTGGATGTGAGACGAGGAGTCAAATGAGACCTTTTATGGAGATTTAAGATTTAAGGAGTGCCCTGCTGGGTTTTGAACTTGTGTGGGGACTGTAGCCCCTTTCTTTTGGCCAATTTCGCCCATATGGGCAGAAAGTTGGAGGGAAATTATAAAGCAAATTATTCCCAATTTTACCAAATGGGTAACTAAATATCAAAGACTTTTTAAAAAACCCATCTTCTAGGTTTTTTGAACCTTTCCATTATTCTCAACTCCATCACTAGTATGTTTATAAAAACTAACTCATTATGAATATCTTCTGATTCAATTAGAAATAGTTATGTAAATGAATATGTGTTTATTTTTCTTATTTAATCATCTTTCATTAATGGTTAGTTCATAAAAGTATATATTAATTCTTATGTAAACTACATAATTGACATTCAAGACAAAGTAAATAATCCAAATAAATCAAGTATACACAAAAAATTGAAATATTTTCTAATAATCTCATAAATATTTAAAGTAACTAGTTTTATGTACTGTTATAGGCACTTTAATGGTTTGATTGCAGTTTACTCAAGCAAATCCCACTAGAATATGACTCATTTCACTTATATAAAACTTGTATCCCTAAATCTCTGTATTTTATTCCAATATTTGGATGGCAATTCTTTATTGATTATCATCTTTTAAAAAATCTAATTGTAAAAACAAAATGCCATTGAAAACAATTGATCTGTCTGGGTACAGTGGCTCATGACTGTTACGTCAGCACTTTGGGATACCAAGGTTGGTGGATCGCCTGAGGTTGGGAGTTGGAGACCAGCCTGGCCAATTTGGTGAAACCCTGGCTCTACTAAGAATACAAAAATTAGCTGGGTGTGGTGACACATGCCTGTAATCCCAACTACTCAGGAGGCTGAGGCACAAGAATTGCTTGAACTTTGAAGGTAGAATTTGCAGGGAGCCAAGATCCCACCATTGTACTCCAGCCTGGGCAACACAGTGAGACTCTGTCTCAAAAAATAAATAAGTAAATAAGTAAGTAAATAAATAAATAAATAAATAAATAAATAAATAATCTTGGCTGATGTAGGGTTTCCCAGCTGCTTTATTCATATAAGGTTATTGCATGGTGTTGTAAACGGAATAACAGCCCCCAGAGATTGCACTGTACTAATCCCTGCAACATGGATTACCATAACTTGCAAAATGTTACCTTACATGAAAAAACAGACTGTGCAGCTATCATTAGGAGTCTAGTTGCCCTGAAACTTTATTAACTCTCCACAGCGTTCTTGAGCTACCATTCAACCTTGGACATAGAGTGTTCCGCTAAATTCTTCCACTTTGGAGATTCTGACTTCCTCCATCTACTCTGATAACCTCAATATGTTGCCTTATGCTTTTGGAATAAGGGACAGGCAAAGAGGGAAAGGTAGCAATATTGTGAGAACTTGAACAAAAAGATGTGTTCTTTGTCAGCTTAAATAAAATGTGCTAAGTTTTGAAGCAAGTTTATTTTGGCAACTTAGTTTCTAAATGTCATTACCCACTGAATGGAACCAGAACTTATTGGAGGTATGGTTGATTCTAGTTCTCAGACAGGGAAAACATGAATTAAACCCGGGATATTTTTTGTGTCACAAAGCAACAGACTTAATCAAAGCCTAACAAAGTCTTACAGACTGTACACAAGAGCCAGCTTGTATGGGATACAGCTGGTCAAACTTAATTTGTCAAGCTTCTAAATTATAATTGTTGGGCTGACAATAGCCATCATCCCACGAAATGAAGAGAGCTTGTTCATGACATAGAGCATGGAAATATTTATGCCATCACTGAAGGCTATAAATCCTAAACCCTATTCAATCACTGCAATTTTCTGGTATTCATAACATTTGTTCTTTTTTTTTGTTTTTTGCAAATATTAATAATGTTTAATCCCCTAGTAATAGAAAGAGGCTATGACTTAACTGTTTACTGAAAAACTGTCACAGTTTCAGCTGTTTTAAGAAGACTCAATTTTCTAGAAGTGTAAATTTAGTGAAGACAGGGTCTCACTCTGTTGCCCAGGTTGAAGTGCACTGGTGCAGTCATAGCTCACTGCAGCCTTGAACACCTGGGCTCAAGTGATCCTCCTACTTCAGACTTACCAGTGGCTGAGACTAGAGGCACACACCACTGTGCCCTGCTCTAGAGGTTTAAAATTAAGAATTAAAGGTGTGGAATAATATTTGATAACATAACATCTTTTGAAAGGCATACCACGGATTCTATTTCCTATTGGATGGAATAGCTGGTATCAACATAACCTCCCACTGGAAAAAAATTAGAAAACTGTACAAAATATATTTCAAGAACACTGGAAATCACCCAGCACATGACCGTGATGACTAAGAAAATGAAAAAAACTTGAAACCCCAAACTACCACAGCACACAGCCCCATCTGTTTGCTGACAGGCCTTTTCTAGACTCTGTGCTGTGAGGGAGAACCCAGCAAGAACTCAATGGTCTTCTTTAGTTGAGACTAATAATGTCAGTCTTGGAGACTATGGTGGCCAGAAGTTACTGGGCATAGTAGCAGAGAGAAAGTGGTATGAAGAGAAAGAGCTATAGAAGTTTCCATCGGGCTCCTTTTGTTTTTAGTTGAATACAGAGCTGTGCAAGCATAGGACGGAATCTTATTGGGCTGGGCAAAAAACAATTACTGAGGAGCTATAAAGACGAAGAATTGCAAGAGTTCACACAGGACTGGGAGGTGCCATCATTTATACCACAGGTTTCCAAAAGAATCGTTTTCCAAATGCTAAGCTACTCACAAATAAACATACCTCTCAGAAGTATGGACTTTCTAAAACTTAAGAATTGATGATTTATTGAATAGAGCATATGAATTTAAATAAAGATAAATATTAAATGCTGTCTTACTTATAAGACATTTTAACTAGAATTGGACTTATTTTCACTTCAATACATCAGTTTTGTAACCATTTCTTGTCAACTAACCCGATACTATAAACCACACACAGGTATTACTTAAACTTCAAGGGATTATCTTCAAGGTGTATTCTTGTCTAATATTTTTACTTATCACATATATTTGATTTATATAGGTAGGCAAACTATATTATTGCACATCCACTTAGACACATTTGGAACTGAGAATCAAATGAATAATGATAGAAGTATGTGGCAAAACCTATATTTAACCTATATTTAATCTGTAAAAAAAGATTTATTTCTTTTACACTTTATAATATAACAGCATCTGAGAGAACAACATTGCACTTACTAGTGGACCTGCATTTGGGAGGAGTGGACCAGCCCCGTTCTACACATGAAATGTTGTTCTCATTGTTTTGAAGTCTGTATCCTGTGTTGCAAATAATTTGTACAGTATCACCTTCCAGATGTGTTTGTCCTGAAGATTCAGAATGACCATTTTCCACAAAAGGAAAGAAACACAGTCCTAAAGACCAAAAACAGATTAATAGACAAGATGGAAGTAGCAAAGAAAAAGTACAACTGCATTTTAAAATATTTTAATAAATAGGGTGAAGTGGCTCAAGCTGGTAATCCCTGCACTTTGGGAGGCTGAGGTGAGTGGATCATTTGAGGCCATGAGTTCGAGGCCAGCCTGGTCAACATGGTGAAACCCTGTTTCTACTAAAAATACAAAAATTAGCGGGCATAGTGGTGTGCACTTGTAATTCCAGCTACTCTGGAGGCTGAGACAGGAGAATCACTTGAACCCAGAAGGCAGAGGTAGCAGTGAGTCGAGATGGCACCACTGCACTTCAGCCTGGGTGACAGAATGAGACTCTGTCTCAAAAACAAAACAAAACAAAACAAAACAAACAAACAAAAAACCAAAAAGGAAAGCTTTCAAAGCTGAAATCAAATATAAACATTTTCAAAAGAAGTTAAGTCTTGCTACTATATATATGATGAAATATATTTTTGGTTCCTTTATATGTACATATAGAAGAAAATATTTCATGTTGTTACTCTATGTTTTTTATAATAAAATATTTTATGTTTATCAACTCTTTTAGGGACAAAAGAACATCTACATATATCTATTTCTCTCTTAACTCTCATAAATGTTTCTTAGGAGAAAGATCATTGCTATCTCCTTTGTTGCCTCATCTATCTGTCTCCCAGTTGTTTTCTCTTTTAATATACCTGTTATCATTGGAGTCTGCTCTCTACATTTATTGGAGGGTTAATATAGCTACACTTTGAAGGACCAAAGAAATTATTTATTGAAATATAAAAGTGAAAATGCTAAACCTCCTTGTAATATGCAAAAGAATGTTAAATTCAAAACAGAATATGTATAAAATGACATTTAAAAGGAAAACTATGATCAGGCTGCTGCCAAATGAATATTAGTAAAGAAATATTAGCAGTCAAATATATTAATCATCAGTTTAAAAAAATTGATATATTTCAACATGTAGAGAATTTCCGGGTAATGCAAGACAGTTGACATATTTATTCTTCATTGATTCTCATAGGAGCCATCTCAAAATAGAAGGACTACATCTCCCATCTTTCCAGCTCCTCTGGTCACTGCTCCTGTGATTATCAAGTGTTTATGATCTTGTCTGGCATATCCTTCTCTGTTCATTGAATGACATCCATTTAATGAACAGGGCATTTACTCACTGAGACACTTTGGTGTTGGTGACCATCCTTCTTCTGCGCACGTTATGCGAGTCCAAAAGGATTTTGAAGGAGACACAAAATTATATTCACAGGAGTAATAGAAAACTTCCCCTGTAGGAACTTGGGAAAATGGCTTATATTTTTCTTCATCATATAGAATTCCATGGTTTATTTTTGGAAAATCACAGAACATTGCTGGGAAAATAACACAAAACTGAAGAATTACATAATAAGCTACATAAATAAATCACTAGACTATATTTTAATCATCTCATTTAGTTTTTTTCTTTCATTTAGCTTAAATGCCTTTAGCTTAAATGCTCTCCAGTGTCCAAATTAGGAATGAAAAGACATCACTAACTAAGAGTACACGAGTATTTGAGGAGGTAATTGTTAATGAATATAAAATCTATATTTTGGAGTGATATGAAATATGAACTCTCCTGCAATGTCTTCAAGAAGAAAACCCTCACACAACAATTTAAGAATGAAGGCAGAGTGTAAGACTAGCAAATCTTCCTGATCTACTTAGTATACAGTAGAGGAGTGACAGGGTTGTTCTTAGCTCTCAATTTACTTATTTTCTCTATTCTCATTGACTGTCATAGGTATCTCCACCAGAAACTCTGTCCTATTTTTTTTCTGGTGCAGAAAAGATGTTGGGTAGTTAGTTTTGTTGTTTGTTTATTAATATCATTTTGAATACTTTCTGGTTACAAAGTTAATATAGTTTCAGTGGAAATAATTGAGAGAATATAAGAAAATCACTAAGAACAACTCAAGATAAAGTTAGAGCTAAATTCTGGTTAATGTTGTATATACAAATATGTATTGTATATTTGTATTTATATATTTATACTTGTATACACACATATATATATGGTCAGCCCCACTGGTTTCACATCCTCTGATTCAACCAACTGCAGATCAAAAATATTCGGAAAAAAACAATAAAAAGACAATAAAACAATAAAAATAATGCAATTAAAAATACAATATAACAACTATTTGTATAGCATTTACATTGTATTAGGTATTATAAATAATCTAGAGATTCTTTAAATTGTATGAGAGGGTTGGGTGTGGTAGCTCATACCTGTAATCCCAGCACTTTGGGAGGCTGAGGTAGGTGGATCACTTGAGGTCAGGAGTTTGAGACCAGCCTGGCCAACATGGCGAAAGCCCATCTCTACTAAAAATACAAAAATTAGCCAGGTGTGGTGGTGCACACCTGTAATCCCAGCTACTTGGGAGGCTGAGGCAGAAGAATCACTTGAACCCAGGAGGGGTATGTTGCAGTGAGCCGAGATCATGCCACTAAACACCATCCTGGGGGCGACAGAGCAAGACTCTACCTCAAAAAAAATTAAAATAAAATAAAATAAATTGTTTGGGAGGATATACACAGGTTATATACAAATACTACATCATTCTGTCTTAGAGACTTGCATATCCTTGGATTTTGGTATCTACTGGGGGTGGGTAGAGTCCTGGAACCAATTCCTTGAGGATACTAAAGGACTAGTGTATATATGTATATATACATCCATATACACGATGGTGCAGGAAAAATTAAAACAATGTAGAAAATGGGTGAAATCTTCATACTTTTTGACTCTTTCTTTGTGTACACATTCATATATATACACACATATTTTTATAAGACTTTATATTTTATTAACAAGTTTTTCACAGCAAAATTGAGTGGAAGGTAGAGATTTCTATATACCACTTCCTCTTCCCTACCACATGCATAACCTCCCTCACCGTCAATATAATTATCACCCAAAGTTCATAGTTTATGTTGGGGTTCACTCTTGATGTTGTACATTCCATGGGTTTGATATACTTTATCTTTGAGTATGTATTTAGCTCAAGATAGTTCCTCATATAATACTGCTCTTTGTTTTTATGTCAAGATATTGTTGCAATATAGTACTGTTGCATAAGAAATAATTTTATTTTTCACCTTATTTGGAAGATGTGTGCAGAAATTAAGCTGACAAATCAACAGAAATTTCTCTTTTTCATCTGTCTAGAAGTAATGTTTAATGTTGCACAATATTTGAAATATTTTCACTTTGTGAAACGTGAAACTGATTATCTAACTGTTTAAAATTTGACATTAGATAGTTTTGGTAAAGGTATTGAGGGAAAGACTCCCATCTTGATAGTATTAACCTACCATAACTCTTTTAGTTATCCTTCACTCCTCCAAAATTATAGTAGTTTATTTTCATACATTTGTACTTACATATTCTTTGCTATCCAGAATAACTTGGTTTTCATCACCCAGTTATATTGTACCTATGCTTCAGAATTAACTCTATGACATTCATCAAGTATTCATTGTGCATATCTGCAATGGTGCTAGCTAGGAGTGTTAATGTCTTCTTGCAAGCCTCCTTTACACAACCACCCACTTCAAAAGTAGAAAATAATTTTTCTTGTCTCAACATTCTGATAGAATATTATGAATATATTTCTTCTGGGATACACACACACACACACACACACACATACATATATACAGTTGTACAGATATTCACCACATAATGACATTTTGGTCAATGACTGATCGCTCATGTGACAGTGGACCCATAAGATTATAGTGTAGCTGAAAAATTCCTATCACCTAATAGCCATCATAACATAGCAGTGTAATATATTACTCACATGTTTGTGGCAATGCCGGTGTAAATAAACCTACAGCATTGCCAGTCACATAAAAATATGCCACACACAATTTTGTACAGTACATAATACTTGATGATGACAATATAGAAGTGTTACTGGTTAATGTATTTCATATAGTATAATTGTTATCAGTATTTTATAGTTAACTTCTTCTACTGGTTAAAAAAATTAACTGTAAAACGGTTAATGTTTCCTGAGGCAGATCCTTCAGGAACTATTCCAGAAGAAACCTTTGTTATCATAGGAGAGGACAGCTCCATGCCTGTTACTGCCCTGAAGATCTTCTAGTGGGACAAGAGCGGAGGAAGAAGACAGTGATACTGATGATCCTAACCCTTTGTAGGCTGAGGTTAATATGTGTGTTTGTGTCTGTTTTTAACAAAAAGGTTTAAAAAGTAAATAAATAAGTAAAATATTTAAAAGATAAAAGCTTATAGCACAAGAACAGAAAGAAAAAATCTTTTGTACATCTCTACAATGTTTTTTAAGCTAAATATTATCTCGAAAGACATAAAAATTAAAGTTGATGAAGTAAAAAGGTCAACATAAACTAAGGTTAATTTATTATCGAAGAAAAGTTTAAAATAAATTTAGTCTATCCTGGGTGCATCAAAAGCTCAGTAATTAGCACTGAAGAACTTATCCATGTAACCAAAAACCACCTGCTCCCCCAAAACTATTGAAGTAAATAAATAAATAAAATAAATTAGTTTAGCCTAAGTATACAGTGTTTATACCACCTCTAGTCGTGTATGGTGATGTTCTAAGCCATCACATTCACTCACCACTCATGTAATGACTTACTGAGAGCAACTTTCAGTCCTACACACCCTATTCATGGTAAAAGCCCTATACAAGTCTGCCGTTTTTAATATTTTATACTGTATTTTTATTGTACTTTGCTATATTGAGATAAACATATACTTACAATTGTGCTACAGTTGCCCACAGTATTCAGTACAGTAACATGCTGTACAGGTTTGCAGCCTAGGAGCGACAGGCTATACCATATGGCCTAGTTACCTAGTAGGCTATAAAACCTAGGTTTGTGTAAGTCCACTCTATAATGTTTGAATAAGAAGGAAATCGCCTAAGGACGCACTTCTCAGAACGTGTCCCTATCATTAAGTGATGCATGACTGTTTATACACACACACACACACACACACACACTCACTCACAGTCACCTATATATAGCCTTGCAATTTATTTGCATATTTACATTTTGCTTTTCTTTAGGACACTGTAAGTTGCAGTGAGGTGTGGTTAGGGTTGTCATTTTCTTCCAGCTTCTTTGCTACATGAAGCACAACATAGTGCTTGATAAATATTTTGCTACTGGAAGCATGCAGCTTTCTATGTATACAAATGTGTTGCTTCAGTGTGTTGTTTTTGCTGTTTGGCAGGTCTCTCAGTAGACACCTAAATGACAGTGTAACACACACTTACAGATCATTTAACATCTAGGCAACCTTTAGATAGAATTTCACTGAAGTTTCTCCCAGAGACTGGATTGAAGCTTGAACTTTTTTTTGGTGGGAGGAGGGTTAGGAATTGTCAAAATTCTACATATTTCTCTCATATTTTTCACTTATTTTCCTCTGCTACCCCCCTATTTAGAAATCCTCATGTAATGCCATGTGTAATAGGTGTATAAGCCACTTAATAAATACCATAAACACAGACTTAAGAAAAATCAAATACACTCATACAATCGCACTCCTGTGATTACAACTCAGCACTAAAAGTGAAAACAAAATAAAACGAATTTCAAGGGCCAGGCGTGGTGGCTTATGCCTGCAATCCCAACACTGTGGGAGGCCGAGGCAGGCAGATCACCTGAGGTCGGGAGTTCGAGACCAGCCTGACCAACATGGAGAAACCCCATCTCTACTAAAAATACAAAATTAGCCAGGCGTGGTGGTGCATGCCTGTAATCCTAGCCACTTGGGAGGCTGACGCAGGAGAATTGCTTGAACCCAGGAGATGGAAGTTGTGGTGAGCCGAAATCACACCATTGCACTCCAGCCTGGGAAACAAGAGTGAAAGTCCATCTCAAAAAAAAAATGAATTTCAAGCAATAGAAATAATATTTTGCAACATTTCTAAGGGCAAATATTTAAAGGAAAGCATGTTATTGTTCATGTTGTTCTGTTATGTCAGGACTGATGAGAAACTGTTCAAATAAAAGTTCAAAGGTCTGGAAACATTAGGAAACAGCAAAACAGTAAAGTAAAAACTTTTTGGAAATCAAAGGGTAAAGCATAATGATCGAAACTCCAAGTACAGACATAGTTTAATTAGTATCCTAGACCTTGGTAGAGATTTTGTTTGCAATTCCTTTGATATGGTGGCCTTAATTTCAACATGAAATAAAATGGGACCATTTATAAAATATCATAAGAAGCCGTTTGTAGTATTAATAAAGAGGTGATACATTACTTCATTCTCAACATTTAAGAGCTCAGAAGAAGCAATTTCTTGACAGTTCACTGGTTTATATATAAATGATATTTTCTATTGTTTCAGTAAAATATATTTCCCTCTGTTGAAGGATAATTCGATTGAAATGGGAATTCCTCCATTTTAATGACCTTTAAAATTTAAATGATCAAATCTAGGAAACTAAAATCCAAAAAGCATTTTGAAGGTGGCCAAATCTTTTTGAGATTGATTGTTCTAGTTAGTGGCATTGCAGAGTGTATGCAGAATTACACTAATACTTCACCTTGCCACCGTTAGTATAGCAGGTTTTCCCTCATTTAATTCCTCTTTACATTCTCTATTTGGTGGCCATTTACCTTTGCAACTTAGAGGATGGAGATAACTAATTTTATTCTATTTTCCTGCTAATTGCATGTTAGAAAGTATTTCCATAAAATACATTAATATTATAACTCATTTAAAATATTTTCATCCATTTATTCATTTAAAAATATGTAAGCATACACACAAAAACCGATAAATGTATCTGAAAAAGGAACTAAATATTCAGGTCTGTTTTGAACTTACCTTCTCCCCCAACAGAGGATATCCGTGAGATTAGAATTACACTGACCAGGAGCCACATGCTTGGTAGTTCCAATCTTATATAACTAAAAATACTTCAGTGGTGGTGGTGTTGCTTTGAATCTGCTTTCATTAACAGTTATGAGCATGACTTTGAATTTCAGTGTACTAACTGGAAGCTAGTTTAGTAAAGTCCTTTGTGGTAAACATCAAAGTTCATGGAGGGTTGTGCAAAATAAGCAAATAGTGTCTAATCAGTGTTTTCACAATAATACTCTGAGTTTATCATGTAATATTAACTTGAGCAAAATAAAAGCTGTTCAATTTCCTTGTTGTGGTCCCTGAGTCTCTGAGTTTGGAATATTCAGAAATGGGCCATTGAAGAGGAAAGAGGAAGCCCCTTCTTTTTTCTAGCCAAGAGTTCAGCTACATCAGTAGGCAAGCAAGTGAAGGTGATCAGTCCTCATCTTAACATAACAGCATCACTGTTCTAGTTATAAATTCCACTTAAAACTGGTATTAAGAATGAGGTAACTTCAGACCATCCTGGCTAACCTGGTGAAACCCCATCTCTACTGAAAATACAAAAATTAGCTGGGCGTGGTGGTAGGTGCCTGTAGTCCCAGCTACTTGGGAGGCTGAGGCAGGAGAATGGCGTGAACTCGGGAGGCGGAGTTCACAGTGAGCTGAGATCGCACCACTCCCCTCCAGCCAGGGTGACAGAGCGAGACTCCATCTCAAAAAAAAAAAAAAAAAGAATGAGGTAACTTCTTAATAGTTTTCATATTTTGTAGACTATAAAAAGTCAAATCAAGAATAATTTTTGGTATGTAATGGTTCCCAAAATTGTTGAACCAATTTTACTTCAGAATAATTTTGTTCCGATGGGACTTTGAGAATGGGTATTTCTGGGTCTTGGTATATTCACTCACCACCAAAAGGCAGCAATAAAACTGGATAAAATTATAAAAATAATCTCTAGAAATTGGCCAAAGAGCATACTGTTGGGAAATATTTATTCCAGAAAGTCCACATAAATCTCAGTAAAAAAGAGTGGCTGCTTTTATCCACCTTTGTCTCACAGCCCAGTTCTGTGGCTCAGAAGTTGAACCCTGGGTAGGCAAGCAGGCTGTGAGGACTGGAAGCTCTGCTGCCCCACTGGAGGGGAGTGACTTTATAGCGTGGAAAATTCCCTGCCCAAGGATCCTGTTGAATATAAAGAGGTTACAGTGGGAAGCAAGTAGAGAAGATTAATATGTGTAGAAGATATTAGCTGGGGCAAGCAACAAAGTGGCCAGTCAGCCAAAAATTTAATGGCAAAATTTGGAGAAAGGGACAGCCTAAGGACTTCCACTAAGATGAAACTTACTGATGGTGGTTCAGAAATCAATGGGAATGCATATAGCTATGTTCAGTCAAGAAACCAGAGAAGTCTCTGTGAGCTATTAGTAGTCTCCACTATTGAATCTAGTCTATCTAAACCTTATCATTTCCAATTAAACTACCTAAATTATCTAAATATTAGGTGTCACACTCTAGACCATTTCCACAATCTTTTTAGCTCACTTACTCTACTAAATTTGTTCCAATCATTCAATGACACTGATGCTTTTTCACTATTCTTTTCCCTTCACTTTCTCTCTTCCCACCATACCCAAATTAGATTCAATGGTTCATCCCTGTAAGTCAATCCCTTGCACACACTCTCCTGCCCATTCCTTTCTTTCTTTCTGTAATCCAAGTCTTAGAAAACCTCAATCCTTTGCAAATAAATTCTCTGCCTGCCCTGTCTCTGAACTGAAGCAGCAGAGTGTGTCTACAAGAAAAACAAATGCGGTCACCGCTCCAAGATGGCTGAATAGGAACAGCTCTGGTCTGCAGCTCCCAGCTGCAGAAGATGGGAGATTTCTGCATTTCCAACTGAGGTACCTGGTTCATCTCACTGGGACTGGTTGGACAGTGGGTGCAGCACATGGAGGGGGAGCCGAAACTGGGCGGGGCATCACCTCACCCTGGAAGTGCAAGGGGTCAGGGGATTTCCCTTTCCTAGCCAAGGGAAGCCATGGCAGACTGCACCTGGGAAAAATGGGACATTCCTGCCCAAATACTGCACTTTTCCGAGGGTCTTAGTAAACGACAGACCAGGAGACACTCTCCTGCTCCTGGCTCGGCGGGTCCCACACCCACGGAGCCTTGCTGACTGCTAGTGCAGCAGTCTGAGATCAACCTGTGAGGCAACAGCCTGGTGGGGGGAGGGGCATTCGCTATTGCTGAGGCTTGAGTAGGTAAACAAAGTGGCCTGGAAGCTTGAACTGGGTGGAGCCCACTGCAGCACAGCTAGGCCTGCTGCCTCTGTAGACCCCACCTCTGGGGGCAGGGCATAGCTAAACAAAAGGGAGCAGAAACTTCTGCAGACTTTAAATGTCCCTGTCTGACAGCTCTGAAGAGAGAGGTGATTCTCCCAGCATGGCATTTGAGCTCTGAGAACAGACAGACTGCCTTCTCAAGTGGGTCCCTGACCCCCATGTAGCCTAACTGGGAGACAACCTTCCAGTAGGGGACAACTTACACTTCATACAGGTGAGTGCCCCTCTGGGACAAAGCTTCCAGAGGAAGGATCAGGCAGCAATATTTGCTGTTCTGCAATATTTGCTATTCTGCAGCCTCTGCTGGTGATACCCAGGCAAACAGGGTCTGGAGTGGACCTCCAGCAAAATCCAACAGACCTGCAGCTGAGGGATCTGACTGTTAGAAGGAAAACTAACAAACAGAAAGGAATAGCATCAACAACAACAAAAAGGACATCCACACCAAAACCCCATCTGTAGGTCACCAACATCAAAGACCAAAGGTAGATAAAAACCACAAAGATGGGGAGAAACTAGAGCAGAAAAGCTGAAAATTTGAAAAACCAGAGCACCTCTTCTCCTCCAAAGATCGTGGGACAAAGCTGGACAGAAAATGACTTTGACGAGTTGACAGAAGTAGGCTTCAGAAGGTCAATAATAACAAACTTCTCCGAGCTAAAGGAGGATGTTTGAGCCCATTGCAAGGAAGCTAAAAATCTTCAGAAAAGATTAGATGAATGGCTAACTAGAATAAACAGCATAGAGAAGACCTTAAATGACCTGATGGAGCTAAACACCATGGCACGAGAACTTCGTGACACATGCACAAGCTTCAATAGCTGATGCAATCAAGTGGAAGAAAGGATATCAGTGATTGAAGATCAAATTAATGAAAT
This sequence comes from Homo sapiens, assembly GCF_000001405.40. NCBI lineage: Eukaryota > Metazoa > Chordata > Mammalia > Primates > Hominidae > Homo > Homo sapiens. The sequence goes on along the minus strand of NW_025791754.1, from coordinate 705,820 downwards.
AAAGTGAGAAGAGAAGTTTAGAGAAAAAAGAGTAAAAATGAATGAACAAAGCCTCCAAGAAATATGGGACTATGTGAAAAGACAAAATCTACGTTTGATTGGTGTACCTGAAAGTGACGGGGAGAATGGAACCAAGTTGGAAAATACTCTTCAGGATATCATCCAGGAGAACTTCTCCAACCTAGCATGGCAGGCCAACATTCAAATTCAGGAAATACAGAGAACATCACAAAGATACTCCTTGAGAAGAGCAACCCTAAGACACATAACTGTCAGATTCACTAAGGGTGAAATGAAGGAAAAAATGTTAAGGGCAGCCAGAGAGAAAGGCCAGGTTACCCACAAGGGGAAGCCCATCAGACTAACAGCGGATCTCTCAGCAGAAAATCTATAAGCCAGAAGACAGTGGGGGCCAATACGCAACAATCTTAAAAGAATTTTCAACCCAGAATTTCATATCCAGCCAAACTAAGCTTCATAAGTGAAGGAGAAATAAAATCCTTTACAGACAAGCAAATGCTGAGAGATTTTGTCACCACCAGGCCTGCCTTACAAGTGCTCCTGAAGGAAGCACTAAACATGGAAAGGAACAACTGACACCAGCCACTGCAAAAACATGCCAAATTGTAAAGACCATTGATGCTATGAAGAAACTGCATCAATTAATGGGCAAAATAACCAGCTAACATCATAATGACAGGATCAAATTCATACATAACAATATTAACCTAAAAGGTAAATGGGCTAAATGCCCCAATTAAAAGACACAGACTGGCAAATTGGATAAAGAGTCAAGACCCATCAGCGTGCTGTATTCAGGAGACCCATCTCACGTGCAGAGACACACATGGCTCAGAATAAAAGGATGGAGGAATATCTACCAAGCAAATGGAGAGCAAAAAAAAAGCAGGGGTTGCAATCCTAGTCTCTGATAAAACAGACTTTCAACCAACAAAGATCAAAAGAGACAAAGAAGGCTATTACATAATGGCAAAGGGATCAATTCAACAAGAAGAGCTAACTATCCTAAATATATATGCACCCAATACAGGAGCACCCAGATTCTAAGCAAGTCCTTAGAGACCTACAAAGAGGCTTAGACTCCCACACAATAATAATGGGAGATTTTAACACCCCACTGTCAATATCAGACAGATTAATGAGATAGATGGTTGAGAAGGATATCCAGGACTTGAACTCAGCTCTACACCAAGCAGACCTAATAGAAATCTACAGAACTCTCCACCCCAAATCAACAGAATATACATTCTTCTCAGCACCACATCGTACTTATTCTAAAATTGACCACATAGTTGGAAGTAAAGCACTCCTCAGCAAACGTAAAAGAACAGAAATCACAACAAACTGTCTCTCAGACCACAGTGCAATCAAATTAGAACTCAGGATTAAGAAACTCACTCAAAACCACACAACTACAAGGAAACTGAACAACCTGCTCCTGAATGACTACTGGGCAAATAATGAAATGAAGGCAGAAATAAATACGTTCTTTGAAACCAAGAAGAACAAAGACACAACTTACCAGAATCTCTGGGACACATTTAAAGCAGTATAGAGAGGGAAATTTATAGCATCAAATGCCCACAAGAGAAAGCAGGAAAGATCTAAAATCGACACCTTAACCTCACAATTAAAAGAAGTAGACAAGCAAGAGCAAACAAATTCAAAAGCTAGCAGAAGGCAAGAAATAACTAAGATCAGAGCAGAACTGAAGGACATAGACACACAAAAAACCCTTCAAAAAATCAAGGAATCCAGGAACTGGTTTTTTGAAAGAATCAACAAAATTAACATACCCCTAGCAATACTAATAAAGAAGAAAAGAGAAAGGAATCAAATAGACGCAATAAAAAATGATAAAGGGGATATCACCACCGATCCCACAGAAATACAAACTACCATCAGAGAATACTATAAACACCTCTACGCAAATAAACTAGACAATCTAGAAGAAATGGATAAATTCCTGAACACATACATCCTCCCAAGACTAAACCAGGAAGAATTTGAATGTCTGAATAGACCAATAACAGGTTCTGAAATTGAGGCAATAATTAATGTCCTACCAACCAAAAAAAGTCCAGGAGCAGATGGATTTACAGCTGAATTCTACCAAAGGTACAAAGAGGAGCTGGTACCATTCCTTCTGAAACTATTCCAATCAATAGAAAAAGCGGGACTCCTCCCTAACTCATTTTATGAGGTCAACATCACCCTGACACCAAAACCTGGCAGAGACGCAACAAAAAAATAGAATTTTAGACCAATATCCCTGATGAACATTGATGCAAAAATCCTCAATAAAATACTGGCAAACGGAATCCAGCAGCACATCAAAAAGCTTATCCACCACGATCAAGTCGGCCTCATCTCTAGGATGCAAGGCTGGTTAAACATATGCAAATCAATAAACATACTTCACCACATAAACAGAACCAAAGACAAAAACCACATGATTATCTCAATAGATGCAGAAAAGGCCTTCAACAAAATTCAACAGCCTTCATGCTAAAAACTCTCAGGGAACTAGGTATTGATGGAATACATCTCAAAATAATAAGAGCTATTTATGACAAATCCTCAGCGAATATCATTCTAAATGGGCAAAAACTGGAAGCATTACCTTTGAAAACTGACACACGACAGGGATGTCCTCTCTCACCACTCCTATTCAACATAGTTTTGGAAGTTCTGGCCAGGGATTTCCGTCAAGAGAAAGAAACAAAGGGTATTCAATTAGGAAAAGAGGAAGTCAAATTGTCTCTGTTTGCAGATGACATGATTGTATATTTAGAAAACCCCATCGTCTCAGCCCAAAATCTCCTTAGGCTGGTAAGCAACTTCAGCAAAGTCTCAGGATACAAAGTCAATGTGCAAAAATCACCAGCTTTCCTACACACCAATAACAGACAAGCAGAAAGCCAAATCATGAGTGAACTCTCACTCACAATTGCTACAAGGAGAATAAAATACCTAGGAATCCAACTTACAAGGGATGTGAAGGACCTCTTCATGGAGAACTATGATCCACTGCTCAACGAAATAAAAAAGGACACAAACAAATGGAAGAACATTTCATGCTCATGGATAGGAAGAATCAATATTGTGAAAATGGCCATACTGCCCAAGGTGATTTATAGATTCAATGCCATTCCCATCAAGCTACCAATGTCTTTCTTCACAGAATTGGACAAAACTACTTTAAAGTTCATATGGAACCAAAAAAGAGCCCTCATTACCAAAGCAATCCTAAGCAAAAAGAACAAAGCTGGAAGCTTCACGCTACCTGACTTCAAACTATGCTACAGTAACCAAAACAGCATGGTACAGCATGGTACCGGTACCAAAACAGAGATATAGACCAATGGACCAGAACAGAGGCCTCAGAAATAACACCACACATCTACAACCATCTGATCTTTGACAAACCTGAGAAAAACAAGAAATGGAGAAAGGATTTCCTATTTCTTAAATGGTGTTGGGAAAACTGGCTAGCCATATATAGAAAGCTGAAACTGGATCCCTTCCTTACACCTTATACAAAAATTAATTCAAGATGGATTAAAGACTTAAATGTTAGACCCAAAACCATAAAAACCCAAAAAGAAAACCTAAGCCATACCATTCAGGACATAGGCACGGGCAAGGACTTCATCACTAAAACACCAAAAGCAATGGCAACAAAAGCCAAAATAGACAAATGGGATCTAATTACACTAAAGAACTTGTGCACAGCAAAAGAAACTACCATCAGGGTGAACGGGCAACCTACAGAATGGGAGAAAATTTTTTGCAATCTACCCATCTGATAAACGGCTGATAGCCAGAATCTACAAAGAACTTAACAAATTTAGAAGAAAAAAACAAACCCATCAAAAAGTGGGCAAAGGATAAGAACAGACTCTTCTCAAAAGAAGATATTTATTCAGCCAACAGACACATGAAAAAATGCTCATCATCACTGGTCATCAGAGAAATGCAAATCAAAACGGCAATGAGATACCATCTCACACCATTTAGAATGGCGACCATTAATAAGTCAGGAAACACCAAATGCTGGAGAGGATGTGGACAAATAGGAACACTTTTACACTGTTGCTAGGAGTGTAAATTAGTTCAACCATTGTGGAAGACAGTGTGGCAATTCCTCAAGGATCTAGAACTAGAAATACCATTTGACCCAGCCATCCCATTACTGGGTATATATACCCAAGGGATTATAAATCATGCTACTATAAAGACACATGCACACGTATGTTTATCGTGGCACTATTCTCAATTGCAAAGGCTTGGAACTAGCCCAAATGTCCATCAGTGGTAGACTGGATTAAGAAACTGTGGCACATATACACCATGGAATACTATGCAGCCATAAAAAGGATGAGTTCATGTCCTTTGAAGGGACATGGATGAAACTGGAAACCATCATTCCCAGCAAACTATCACAAGGACAGAAAACCAAACACCGCATGTTCTCATTCATAGGTGGGAATTGAACAATGAGAACACTTAGACACAGGGCGGGGGACATCACACACCAGGGCCTATCATGGGGTGGGGGGCAGGGGGAGTGATAGCATTAGGATAAATACCTAATGTAAATGACGAGTTGATGGGTGCAGCAAACCAACATGGCACATTTATACCTATGTAGCAAACTTGCACATTGTGCACATGTACCCTAGAACTTAAAGCATAATAATAAAGATAAATAAATAAATAAAGGTTTACATTATGAAAAGTTGAAAAAAAAAAACCAAATGCAACGGTGCTGACTTGCCTTGCTTTAAATTAATGATCATGGGCCTAAATGATTTTGACACTTCCTTTCTCCTCCTCTGTTTTATTATCTCCCTCCTTAACCATCAGTCCTCACCTTGTACTTTGCTAATGACTTTATTTATTTTTTTCATCTAGATATAGAAGCAATCAGAAGAAAACTACCTGCTGTTCACACACATACTTTTCTGCATTGTCTCCTGTTTCACTGGATGTTGATCCTTACTCCTATCCTGTTATGGTCTCTACCAGATTTGATCCCCTCTTTCCTATGCAACGATTTTGCTCTTTCAATTATTCCCTCTCAACTGTATCATTAATTTCTCCATTTTTCAAATTATTTCTGCCAATATGCAAAAATACCAAACATCTTCCATCTTAAAGAGCAACAACAACAAAAAAAGCTCAAAAAATCTTTTGTGGAACCAAATCTCTTTCTAGTAATCTCCCAATTCTCTTCTCATTTTATAATACAATGACTCCAATGTATTAGCTACAATTTCTGCCTCATTTCATTTTTTCATTCCCACCACTACACTTAAACCTCTCTTGTAACAGTCATCAATATCTTCTTTGTAATCAAATCCATTGGTTGAAACTGAATAATCAGCAAAAATTCACATGAGTTTCCCATCCTTCCATTTTGAAATACCTGCCTCACATGGTCTATGGAACAACACATTCTCCTGGTTTCTCTTCTATTTGAAAGGCTTCACCATGTCAATGTTTTGATGGCTTCTTCTAAACTCTCTGACATTTAAATACTGGCTTGTCTGAATCTAGGGGATGTTATCATTTATTTATGAGCACAGAGTTAATTTTCACAGAGCTAGTGCCAATTTTTAGTTGAATTAACAGTATCTTCTCTTGTCTATTCTTTTTTGAAGCAGTACTCAACAATTATTTTCCAATTTTTTTGCTGAATATTTCTTCCATTCTTCTAATTTGGAAACTTAGATTTTCCTTTTGTTTTTCTGTTTCTTATTTTAAGTAATTTCAGTAGATTATGCCCTCCCATGTATTATCAAGTACAATAACTGCGACCAGGGAATTGACATCAGCACAGAGTGAGACCCTGTCTCAAAAAAAACTGAAAAACTTTTAATTGATTTATTTATGCACATATAAAGTACAAACATCAATTTATTTCTAAAATCCTGCATAATTTTACAAACTTCAACACATTTTATTTTCATCTTTTTTATTTGTTTTGTGTTCTCTGTTTTCGGTGCCCATTGTGTTCCATCAGTTGATAAGTTTTAATGGATAATGACTTGACTTTTACCTACTAACTGAGCAAAGAAATGAGAACAGGTTGTGATGTCCTACTCATGCTATTTTCTTCCAGGGATCATGTAAGATGATCATGCAAGAGTTTACCTAATCCATAGCTTCCTCTGTTGCTAAGAGCTCCAGCATTCTCCAGCTGTACTCCATAAAGTCCTTCCTATACATCCCATCCTTTACTTGCGTTTACAAACCTGGAGCTAGACACAGAGTGCTGATTGGTGTATTTACAATCCCTTAGCTAGACATAAAGGTTCGCCAAGTCCCCACCAGATTAGCCACATACAGGGTGCTGATTTGTGCGTACACAAACCTGGAGCCAGACACAGAGGGCTGCTTGGTGCATTTACAAACCTTGAGCTAGACACACAGTGCTGATTGGTGTATCTACAATCCCTTAGCCAGACATAAAGATTCGCCAAGTCCCCACTAGACTCAGGAGCCCAGCTGCCTTGACCTAGTGGATCCCACACCTGGCTGCAGGGGGAGCTGCCTGCCAGTCCTGTGCCCTGCACCTGCACTCCTCAGCCCTTGGGCGGTTAATGGGAACGGGCACTGCGGAGCAGGGGGCCGCTCTCGCCAGGGAGGCTCTGGCTGCACAGGAGCCCACGGCAGTGGGGTGGCTCAGGCATGGCTGGCTGCAGGTCCCAAGCCCTGCCCCACAGGGAGGCAGCTGAGGCCCCACGAGAATTCAAGCTCCACGCTGGCCTGCCGGCACTGCTGGGGGACCCAGAAAACCCTCTGCAGCTGCTGGACCGGGTGCTAAGCCCCTCACTGCCTGGGCCGGCTGCGCGGGCCGGCCATTCCAAGTGCGGGCCCGCAGATACCACACCCACCCGGAAGTCCTCCTGGCCCACAAGCTCTGCGGCGCAGCCCGGGTTCCCGCCCACGTCTCTCCTTCCGGGGCTCTCACTCCATACCTCCCCACAAGCTGAGGGAGCCGGCTCCGGCCTCAGCCAGCCCAGAAAGGGGCTCCCACAGTGCAGCGGGCTGAAGGGCTCCTCAATAGCGACCAGAGTGGGCACCAAGGCCGAGGAGGCACCAAAAGCGAGTGAGGGCTGCGAGGGCTGCGAGGGCTGCCAGCACATTGTCGCCTCTCAGTAGGGTCTTTGAGAGACAAGGTATTTCACTGTAACAGACATCAGACTAAAAGGTAAGAGAGAAAATTATTTTTTTGCTGTAAGACTCTCTAGAAGCAAAGTTATGTTTGATTTTTCCCTTTAAATAGTATATTTGTTAGATCTCTTATTTAGGCAATTATGTCACCTTCTTTTTATCTATCACTTATTTTAACCCAAACTTTCCTCTCCAAAAAGAAATATCAGGTTTGACCATGGAGTTAACCTATTCACTGGAAATAAGAATCTTGCTAAGGCTTCTTTCTTGGTTTATTTTCATTCACATGGGATAGGATTAGAAATGTACAAACTTACTGGCCTGTTACCTCTACTTGGTAACAAAACATTTCCACCTGAAGGCCCGGTTAGGCCAGGTGAGAGGACGGGACATTCTAGCTTCTGTGGTCTCTGTTGCAACTACTCTGTTGGCCCTGATAGTGTAAAAACAGCCATGGGGAATATGTAAACTAGTGAACATGGTTGTGTTCCAATAAAACTTTATGGACACAAATATGTAAATTTCATATAAATTTTATGAATATTTTAATTATCAAATGATTTTTCTTACTTTAATTTTAAAAAGATATCAAAATGTAAAAACCATTGTAGTCAGAGCCCTACAAAAATAGGCAGCAGGCCACAGTTCCCCATGACTGTCATTTGCCAGTCCTTCATCTGGCCCACCAATCCCTTCTGAATTC